>NT_187684.1:0-200773 GCF_000001405.40 Homo sapiens
TCTACTCTCCCATGCTTGCCTCGGCAGCACATATACTAAAATTGGAACGATACAGAGAAAACTAGCATGGCCCCTGCGCAAGAATGACACGCAAATTCGTGAAGTGTTCCATATTTAAAAAAAAAAATCTACTTTCCTGGTAAATTTCAAGTATAGAGTACAGTATTGTCAACCATAGTGGCAAAGCTGTACAAGAGATCTTCAGACCCATTCCTCCTGAATACCTGATAGTTTGTATCCTTTGATCAACATCTCCCAATTCCCTCCCCCACACTGTCCCTGTAGTTCTAGTGAGTTTCCCAGACTCTGATGTCTCAATTTCATTCAGTCACTTTCCTCCAGATACATCTACCCATTCCTACTGCATCTTAGTATCCTGAGCCTTGGGGGCAGTTTCTGTGCCAAGTGGAAATGTGGAAATGAGATATTACGAAGAAAAATCTTTGCCCACCTAGACAGGGATCTGATGTTTTCCAAGATGACACATGATTACATGTTGAAATGATAATATTTTGAGTCTACTTGTATAATAAAATAATATTTTGGATCTATTAGGTTAATATTTTGGGTCTGTTGGGTTAATAATATTTTGGGTCCATTGGGTTAACTTAAATTAATTTTATCTGTTTCTTGTTAGCTTTTTAATTTGGATACTAGCAAGTTTGAAAGAATGCATGTGGTTTGCATTATGTTTCTATAGGACAGAACTTACCTGTAGATGTAAGGGAGTCACAACAAAATTACAAGCATTGTTTTTGGTGGAAATGAGAAAAATGATTACAAATTTACATGGAAAAGCAAATAGCCAATAATAATAATAATGGCAATCTTAAAGAGGAAGGAGAAATTAGAGGATTCAGGCTGCCAAATTTTAAGGGGTTCTATAAGGCCACATAAAGTGCAGCATCCTCATGAGAGTGGACACAGAGAGCCACTGAGCAGAAAAGAGTGTGTAAAATACATCTGTGTACACACAGTCCTTTTATAGTTGACAGAGGCTGCCATGCGGATTAAGGTGGAATAGAATGTCTTCTCAGTAAATAACATTGGACCAGAGGGTTACAAGCAGGAAAAAATAAATCTAAGCTTATTTTCACACCATAAAAACACTGCTAATTTTTTATCTTATTATCATACATTTTGATGATTTATTTATAAAATTGATGAATGAAAATTATATACAGTTGTCCTTCACTATTCATGGGTGATTGGTTCCAGGAAACCCCCCTCCCTACCAGACACCAAAATCTGCAGATGCTCAAGCCTGTTGCATGAAATGGCACAGCGTTTGCATATAACCCATGCACATCCTCCTGTATACATGAAATCATCTCTAGATTACTTATAATTCCTGATACAGCCTACACACCACCTCACTTGTGTCCACACAATATAGTATTTTTGCTTTTTGGAACTTTGTGGATTTTTTCTCTGAATATTTTTGATTTATATTTGGTTCAATAAACACCTGTAAACCCCACAGATATGGAGGAGCGACTGTATATTTATAGTATGAAAGATGATGTGTTGACATGTGTCCCTGTGGAGATGAGACTAACAAGGCCTATGACTCTACAAATGTTTCATCTTGGAATGACTCTGCCAGCTTTCCAGGTCTGCAGAGAGTAAGAATATCACTTGTTCATGTGATTCACGATCCTTGGAACCTCCTATGTGCTGCATCTTTGGATGGAAATTGGAGTCCCAGAGACAAATGAGGCTCCACCCTGCTTCCAGAAGCTCAGAGTCCAGGGCTGAGAACCCAGTAGAGAACATATCAGGTTATATGGACATAGTAATGATAACACTGGAAACTTTTGGCGAATAAAGAGTCACATTATCGAAACCATGAGGGCAGACATGTTTATTTGAAGAGGAGAGAGCTACACTGAAGTTATAAAAAAAATTTATAAATTTTACTGATGACAGAAGGCTGAAAGATAGTCTGAGGGGAGGTGGAACAGCATGAGGGAAGGTGGAACAGCAAGTGTGTAAGTGCCGTGTTAAGAGGGAGCCTCTTGTATGTTTGGAATTGTGAGTTCCTCAGTGTGATTGCAGCCTCAAGTAGGACTAGGAAGTAAGCCAGTTAGGTTGGAGAGGTGGGCAGGGGTCAAGTGAAATAGATACTTGTGGGCTAAGCAAAGGAGTGTGTTTTCTCTGCAGCAGGCAGTGGCGACCTTAGGCATTTGTAAGCAAGAGAGAGGCATGTTCAGATTCGTGGTGTGAGGAAGAGCGATCCCCTAAGATGCAGACTGATGCCTTCAGATTCCAGCTGCTGGTTCATTGGATCTGGCAACCTGGTTTTGAGACAGGGCTGTTGTCTCCCTAGAAAACCCCCTCAAGACCTGACTGTGGTGCTCGTGGGCAGGAGACAACTTTGGATCTGGGCTCAGCATTTGGAAGTTCCGTGTACACGCTGGTATCTGTTAGGGGTGTCTTGGGCCTCTGAGAAGGGCGACTGATTTTTCTCTGTATGAAAACGCAGTGATCCAACTGTGCGTACGTCACCTCCTGAGGGTCTTGTTCATCAGAGTCCTGGAGAGAGGGAAATGCTGAGTGAGGGAGGGTGCTCACATTTTTCAGGACTATTAGGGATAAGACTGTATCCGTGAGGCTGGGCCGAGGAGGACCTACCTGCCTATTCACTGTTCTGTCCCCCGCAGGCTCTTGGTCCATTACAGCAGCATCTGTAGGAGACGGAAGTCATCAAAACCGCTTGGAGGGCCCTTCTGGGTCCTCATTTCATGGGCAGACACCAACCCACAGGGGGAGGCTGTAGGTGCCTGAGGCTCTTCAGCTGCCAACATCCAGACTCAGACATTCTATCTCTCTGAGTTCAAGACCCCATCCCATGAAGTGCTCTCAATTGGCATCCCATTGATTCTGTCTCCCACTTTCTGCCTGTCATGGAAGCTTCTGGATGTCAGTGGCTGCAGGGGATGTGAGGATACAGTTCAGAACCAGGCAATGGTCTGTGAGCTGAAGGCAGGGGCAGGTTGTCTGGTGCTCTCTCTAGAAAGCCCTGCCTCTGTGGCTCCTCCCTTGGGCCAGGGACCATCCTGCCAGTGAGGAACACACACCCGCGTGCTCCCATCCTGCTTCCCCACATGGCCCTGAGCTCTCTGGCCTCTGCTTCGTGAGACTTACTCTTTTTGTTGGAGCACCAGCGATAAAGGAGAAAGAAGAGGAGGAGGATGAAGAGGAAGATGACCACTGAGGTCCCAATCAGAACATGCAGGTGTCTGCAGATACCTGGAGGAAGATGGGAATCCAATAAGAAGCTAATCATAGCAGTTCCTCTTTATGGATTGTCTCATTTCTTGATTGACAGGTAACCACATGGAACATCTCCTTAGGACAAGCAGCCTGATGGCGGGAGACCCAGCTTTCTCCTGCTTTCTCAGTTACAGCTCTCATAGAAACCATAGAACATGCTGAGGATACAGCTGCTTTAGTTTAGATGTTTGACCCTTTGAAACCTCACACTGAAATATTGAAATTTAACCCCCAGTGTGGAAGTTTGGGCCTATGGGAAGGTGTTTGAGTCATGGAGGTGGATCCATCATGAATAGATTAATGCTGCCCCACATGATGGGGTTAGCAAGTTCCCCCTCTATTAGTTCCCGGAGGGCTGGTTGTTAAAAAGAGCTTGGAAGCTCCATCGCTCGCCCTCCCCCTTGCTCCCTCTCTTGCCATGTGATCTCTGTGGTCTCTGCACAGACAGACCCTCCTTCCCTTCTGCCAGAGTGGGAGCAGCCTGAGGCCGTCACAGGAAACAGATGCTGGTGCCATGCTTCCAGTACAGCCTGCAGAACTGTGAGGCAAACAAATCTGTTTTCTCTAGAAGTTGCCCAGGCTCTGGGATGCAAGGCTGGTTCAATATATGCAAATCAATAAATGTAATCCATCATATAAACAGAACCAAAGACAAAAACCGGACGATTATCTCAATAGATGCAGAAAAGGCCTTTGACAAAATTCAACAACGCTTCATGCTAAAAACTCTCAATAAATTAGGCATTGATGGGACGTATCTCAAAATAATAAGAGCCATCTATAACAAACCCACAGCCAGTATCATACTGAATGGGCAAAAACTGGAAGCATTCCCTTTGAAAACTGGCACAAGACAGGGATGCCCTCTTTCACCACTCCTATTCAACATAGTGTTGGAAGTTCTGGCCAGGGCAATTAGGCAGGAGAAGGAAATAAAGGGTATTCAATTAGGAAAAGAGGAAGTCAAATTGTCCCTGTTTGCAGATGACATGATTGTATATATAGAAAACCCCATTGTCTCAGCCCAAAATCTCCTTAAGCTGATAAGCAGCTTCTACAAAGTCTCAGGATACAGAATCAATGTACAAAAATCACAAGCATTCTTATACACCAATAACAGACAAACAGAGAGCCAAATCATGAGTGAACTCCCATTCACAATTGCTTCAAAGAGAATAAAATACCTAGGAATCCAACTTACAAGGGATATGAAGGACCTCTTCAAGGAGAACTACAAACCACTGCTCAATGAAATAAAAGAGGATACAAACAAATGGAAGAACATTCCATGCTCATGGGTAGGAAGAATCAAGATCGTGAAAATGGCCATACTGCCCAAGGTAATTTATAGATTCAATGCCATCCCCATCAAGCTACCAATGACTTTCTTCACAGAATTGGAAAAAACTACCTTAAAGTTCATATGGAATCAAAAAAGAGCCTGCATTGCCAAGTCAATCCTAAGCCAAAAGAACAAAGCTGGAGGCATCATGCTGCCTGACTTCAAACTATACTACAAGGCTACAGTAACCAAAACAGCATGGTACTGGTACCAAAACAGAGATATAGATCAATGGAACAGAATAGAGCCCTCAGAAATAATGCCACATATCTACAACTATGTGATCTTTGACAAACCTGAGAAAAACAAGCAATGGGGAAAGGATTCCCTATTTAATAAATGGTGCTGGGAAAACTGGCTAGCCATAGGTAGAAAGCTGAAACTGGATCCCTTCCTTACACCTTATACAAAAATTAATTTGAGATGGATTAAAGACTTAAACGTTAGACCTAAAACCATAAAAACCCTAGAAGAAAACCTAGGCATTACCATTCAGGACATAGGCATGGACAAGGACTTCATGTCTAAAACACCAAAAGCAACGGCAACAAAAGCCAAAATTGACAAACGGGATCTAATTAAACTAAAGAGCTTCTGCACAGCAAAAGAAACTACCATCAGAGTGAACAGACAACCTACAAAATGGGAGAAAATTTTCGCAACCTACTCATCTGACAAAGGGCTAATATCCAGAATCTACAATGAACTCAAACAAATTTACAAGAAAAAAACAAACAATCCTATCAAAAAGTGGGCAAAGGACATGAACAGACACTTCTCAAAAGAAGACATTTATGCAGCCAAAAAACACATGAAAAAATGCTCACCATGACTGGCCATCAGAGAAATGCAAATCAAAACCACAATGAGATACCATCTCACACCAGTTAGAATGGCGATCATTAAAAAGTCGGGAAACAACAGGTGCTGGAGAGGATGTGGAGAAATAGGAACACTTTTACACTGTTGGTGGGACTGTAAACTAGTTCAACCATTGTGGAAGTCAGTGTGGCGATTCCTCAGGGATCTAGAGCTTGAAATACCATTTGACCCAGCCATCCCATTACTGGGTATAAACCCAAAGGACTATAAATCATGCTGCTATAAAGACACATGGACACGTATGTTTATTGTGGCACTATTCACAATAGCAAAGACTTGGAACCAACCCAAATGTCCAACAATGATAGACTGGATGAAGAAAATGTGGCACATATACACCATGGAATACTATGCAGCCATAAAAAATGATGAGTTCATGTCCTTTGCAGGGACATGGATGAAATTGGAAATCATCATTCTCAGTAGACTATCACAAGGACAAAAATCCAAACACCGCATGTTCTCACTTATAGGTGGGAATTGAACAATGAGAACACATGGACACAGGAAGGGGAACATCACACTCTGGGGACTGTTGTGGGGTGGGGGGAGGGGGGAGGGATAGCATTAGGAGATATACCTAATGCTAAATGACGAGTTGATGGGTGCAGCACACCAGCATGGCACATGTATACATATGTAACTAACCTGCACATTGTGCACATGTACCCTAAAACTTAAAGTATAATAATAATAAAAATTTTAAAAAAAAGCTCATCAGAAGCACTATACAAAAAAAAAAAAAAAAAAAAAGAAGTAACCCAGGCTCAAGTGTTCTTTTATAGCAACAAAAATGGACTAAGACAGCAACGTCCTGAGATCAGGAGGAACGTCTCAGAACAGCCTGTGCTGTCTTCCTGTTCTTCCTGGAGGAGGACGTCATGCAGTGCTTTAGCTGAGTGCTTCCTGTGGCTTCAGGGTACAAAACCCAGGCTGGGCTATTTTCTGGCTTCCCCCAGATACACTGCAAATGAGGTGACTCCATATGTCCCGAGCAGCTTTTCTGAGCCTTGAGGGACTGGCTCACGTTGAAATGTAGGCTTCTGTTGTCACTCGCTGCTTATCTGTTAGTAATGAACCTGCCTATGTAACGTATTCTCTGTGTGTTCTGTCTCCCTGGAGTGACGGTGAGTGATAGAAATTGGCATAGGCCCAGGTGCAGTACAGCAGGTGTTTAGAGTCTTCTCTGGAAAGACTGGACTGGGATTGATACACAGTGAATGTGCTTTACAGTTTCTACATCCACAACCCTCTTGACTCAAATTACATTCTCCAAGAAAAGGACACAAAAGTGAAATCAAGATCAAAAAAGCAAAGTAGAATTCTCTTATGTCAAACAGCCAGGAAATAATGATGAAGCCCATGTGAAACGTGCTACTCTTTGTGATCTCGCGAGACACATGTTAGGCTGCTGTTCCACCTGAGAGGCTGGGGGAAAGACCACCCCCTCCACCATCTATTGCTTCAAAACCACCTGTCCTCCTGTGAATTAGTAGGAAAGGGGAGCAGGAGCTAGTGCTGGTGCTGATCTCTGATTCCAAGATCTGAACTCACTCCAAGGAGTATTAGCGTTTACCTCCCCATGATCTATCTGTATCTCCACAGGTGATTGGAAGTAGGGGTGAGGTGGGGGATTTGGGTGAGGGGGAAAGTTTCTTGTGATGAACAGAGCACTTTCCCTATTTCAGGGCCTGTGCTGGTGGGTTCAGGGGGCTTTCATATTTTCCATATGATCTCATGTTCACAGAAAGCCAAATATGGAAGAGGTTTTAGGCTGATTTTCTAATGGATAAGATAAAGGATCAAAGAAGTAATTATAGAGGAATAGAAAAATGATGATTGGAATTCAGGTGCCTGCATCATTTGTGTATATTATTATATTTATGTATTTTTTATTTTTATTTTTTGAGACAGAGTATCCCTGTGTAGCCCAGGCTGGTGTGCAGTGATGCGATCTCCACTCACTGCAACCTCTGCCTCCAGGGCTGAAGTCATTCTCCTGCTTCCTCCTCCAGAGTAGCTGGGATTACAGTCATGCACCACCATCATGCCTGTTTAATTTTTGTATTTTTAGTAGAGATAGGGTTTCTCCATGTTGGCCAGGCTGGTCTCGAACTCCTGACTTCATGTGATCCACCCGCGTTGGCCTCCTGAAGTGCTGGGTTACAGGCGTGAGCCACCGTTCACAGCCTTGTATATTATGCTATACTAGGTCCCTTCATTTGCACCACCCCTCATCTAGCTCTCCCTCCTCTGCCAGGTATTGATTTAGATGCAGGAGAAATAAATCTCAGAAATAAGTTAGTGAAGCAAGGATTAAACTACCAGGAAAAATTAAACCCAGTAAGCGTTTCCAGTCAATGATTCTACCTCACAAACATATCTTATATCCATCTACTTCATTCATTTAGTGTCTAAATCAGCACCACATTTCACCAGTGGGGCGGCAATTGCCTTTTCCACGGTCTCCTAGATTCCAGTTATGCACCTGAGCCTCCCTTATTTTCATGTCAGTCATATTAATCATGTAGGGATTCCTGGTTACCCCGAGGTGAATCCAAGGGCTGTGAGTGTCAAACACACACTCCTTGTTGCTCCTTAGTTTCCTGTGTACCCAGTGTGCTCTCCGTCTCTCCACAGTCGTCTTGTCATTCTCCCCATCTCATTCCCGGCATTTCAGGCAGAGCCTCTTCCTTCCACATCAGATTGTTTTCACCTTTGTGCCTTCACGGCTGACAGCTGTGTGGAAAATCCTTCTGCCAATCTTCCAGGGGTTCAATCCGTGTTTTTCATTAATGTCACAAATATCTGATTAGTGAGAACTTCTCTGTCACCTGAAATCATACACTCAGCATTATCTATTATTGATTTGAAAATTTGGCTTGGCCCCGTGGCTCATGCCTCTTATCCCAGCGTGTTGGGAGGCAGAGGCTATTGGATCACCTGAGGTTGGGAATTTGAGACCAGCCTGGCCAACATGGTGAAACATCCTCTCTACAGAAAATATGCAAAAAGAGTTAGCCGGGCGTGGTGGTTGTGGTCTGTAATCCCAGCTACTGGAGAGGCTGAGGGAGGAGATCAGTTCAGCCCAGGAGGTGGAGGTTGCAGTGAGCCGAGATCATGCCACTGCACTCTAGCCTGGACGACAGAGCAAGGCTCCGTCTCAATAAACAAGTAGGTAAATACATAAATAAATAGATTTCATGCACAGATGCTTCTCAATAGATCATTCATTTATTGGTCCCCTTGTGCCTACATTTTCTGCCCTCCCATTTAACCATCTGCAAGATCAGTGTCCCAAGAACAGAGGCCAAATGCATCTTGTTCACTGTTTGTGGAAGGCAGGAGAATGTTGTCCCACCCCAAAAATGTCCATGTCCTAGCCTCCATAGCTTGTGAATATGTTATTTTACATGAAAGGAGGAATGAAGATTGCAGATGGAATTATGGTTGCTAGTCAGCTGAACTTAAAAGGAGGGTATCCTGGATGATTTCCGGGAGATTATGATGGATTTTCATCTTGGTGAACCCAATAGAATCCCCAAGTTTTCAAAAGAAGGGCAAGAAGGGAGAGCAGCATTCAGAGAAAGAGGTGTGGTAAGGAAGAAGGGTCTGAGTGATGCCATGTGAGATGTGACCAGTCTTTGTGGGCTTTGAGGAAGGAGGAAGGGTACCAGGAGCCAAGGAACATGGGAGCCTCTAGAAGCTGAGAAAAGTGAGAAGCAGATTCTTGCCTGGAACCCTCAGAGGGAAGGCAGCCTTGCTGTCACCTTGATTTTAGCCCAGTGACATGCACGTCATGCTTTGAGCTACAGCACTGTAAGATAATTAAATAACCGTTTTGTTTTCACCCACGAATCTTGTGGAAATTTGTTATGGCAACAATAGGAAAAGCTTCCACACTGCACAGCCTGAGCATGGGGCCGTGGCTGAATGAGTCAGTGAGTCGAAGTGTGCGTGCATGAGCTCTGTTCTCTGTTACGGCAAGGCTCTTGCTCTGCTGAGTCAGCCAGGGTTGCCTGATGACCAACAGTAATTCATTCCTTGGCAAGTGGAACTTCTCTAAAACACCCACCCTCATCAGATGTTCCCTTCCCTTCCCTCTCTCAAGCCCCCGGGAATTTATCCTCCAGTTAGGAATGCAGGCAGAAAAAACACTGCATTTTTCCTGAGAAGGATGTCAGATTGGCAATTATTCTTCTAGCTTGTAGGAGGTCTCACCTGCAGGAAATTAAAGGTAAAGAGACTTCGCTGAGCCCTTTGGTGGCCCTAGATCCCTTTCACTGTTGGAGTGTCTGGAGTTCAGAGATGGTGGAAGACAGGCCCTCATTCACAGAGCTGGGAGGTTTGAGCCAACACTTGCATCCAAGGCTTCCACCTCCCCAGGTTTCCAAAAGCAGAGATAAGAGGGGTCCTTTACTCACCAGATTTGGAGCTTGGTTCTGTGGGTGAAGGCCAACTACTTGAAGGGTTTCCTAGAACACGGGACAGGAGAGATGTGAGGAAATGAGGGTGCTTGTCCTCTACTCAATGGAAATCTTTGAGGTTGGTTCATGGCCAACACTCTGTTATCTAATGTTGGACCCTGGGAGTCTTGGGATCCTTTTCTCCATAATTTTTGTGTGCGATGCCCACTGTCTTGAGACTTGAAGGTATAAAGAGAAAACAGGAGCATCACACTACCTGACTTAGAAATATGTTACAGAGCTGTAGTAAGCAAAACAGCATGACATTGGCATAAAGAAAGGCACATAAAAAATGGAACAGAATGGAGAACACAGATATAATCCATGCATTTACATCCAATGGCTTTCTTTTGTGTGTGTGTGATAGAATCTTGCTCTGTCATGCAGGCTGGAGTGTAGAGGTGCAATCTCAGCTCAATGCAACCTCCACTTCCTGGATTCAAGAAATTCTCTTGCTTCAAACTCCTGAGTAGTGGTATTACAGGCACTGATCACCATGCTCAGCTAATTTTTGTATTTTTAGTAGAGACGAGGTTTCACTCTGTTGGCCAGCCTGGTCTTGAACTCCTGGCTTTAGGTGATCCACCCGCCTCGGCCTCCCAAAGTGCTGGAATTGCAGGTGTGAGCCACCATACCCAGCCCATTTAATGGACTTTGACAAAGGTGCCGAGAACTTACAATCAGGAAAGGACAGTCTTCAATAAATGGTGTGGGGAAAACTGGATATCTACATGCAGAGGAATAAAACTGCATCTATACCTGTCACCTTACACAAAAATCAAATGAAAATGGATTAAAAACATGAGTCTAAGGCCTGAACCTATGAAACATGTAGAAGAAAATAATGGGGAAGACATTTGTCTGACGAAAGACATTTTGTTTAAAACCTTCAAAACACAAGTAATCAAAGCAAAAAATAGACCATTAGGATTACATCAAACCAAGCAACTTCTGCACCACCAAAGATAAACCAACAAAGTGAAGAGACAACCCACAAAATAGGAGCAAATATTTGCAAACTATTCATCTGAGATGGGATTAATAACTGGAAATATAAGAAGCTCAAACAACTCAATAAAACAATTTAATTAAAAAACGAGCAAAAGACATGAGGAGACATTTCTCCACAAACAAAACATAGAAATGGCGATCACGTATATGAAAAAGTGCTCAGCATCACTCATCATCACAGAAATGTAAATTACAATCGCGATGAGTTTTCATCTCATCCCATTAAAATGCCTTTTAGGCCGGTGGCTCACGCCTGTAATTCCAGCACTTTGGGAGGCGGAGGTGGGCGGATCACCTGAGGTCGGGAGACCAGCCTGACCAACATGGAGAAACTCCCTCTCTACTAAACATACAAAAATTAGCTAGGCGTGGTGGCACATGCCTGTAATCCCAGCTACTTTGGAGGCTGAGGCAGGAGAATCAGTTGAACGCGGGAGGCAGAGGTTGCAGTGAGCCGAGATCACACCCTTGCACTCCAGCCTGGGCGACTATGAGTGAAACTCCATCTCAACATAAATAAATAAATAAATAAAGTAAAGTAAAATGGCTTTTATCTGCAAGACAGGCAAAACAAATGCTGGCAAGATGGTAGAGAAAGGAGAACCCTGGTACCCTGTTGGTAGGAATGTAAATTAGTACAACTATTATGGAGAAAAGTATGGAAAATCTTTAAAAAACTAAAAGGAGGCTGGGCATAGTGGCTTATGCCTGTAACTTCAGCACTTTGGGAAACCGAGGCAGGCACCTCACTTGAGGTCAGGAGTTTGAGAGCAGCCTGCCCAAAATTGGGATATCCCGTCTGTGCTAAAAAATACAAGAATTAGTCAGGCATGGTGGCGTGCACCTGTAATCACAGCTACTAGGGAGGCTGAGTCAGGAGAATCGTTTGAACCTAGGAAGCAGAGGTTGCAATGAGCCAAGATCGCACCACTTTGACTCCAGCTTGGACTAAGGAGGGAAACTCTTTCTCAAAAAAGAAAAAAAAAAAAAGAGAACTTTCATAGTGTCCAGCAATTTCACTACTGGGTTTATATCCAAAGGAAAGGACATCAGTGTATCGAAGTGATATCTGCACTCATATGACTGTTCCAGCACTGTTCACAGTAGCCAAGATGTGGAGTCAACCTACCTGCCTATCAGTGGGTGAATGGATAGAGAACTGTAGTACACACACACGGTGGAGACTACTCATCCATAGAAACAATAACATCCTGTCATTTGCAGCCACATGGATGGAACTCGAGGTCATTACAAAGATTCCCATTTCTCACCACATGCAGGAGATAAAAGGTGGATCTCATGAAGGTAGAGAATAGAATGGTGGATACCAGAGGCCAGGAAGGGAAGGGTGGAGGGTAACAAAAAAAAGAATATAGATGTATTTATTTATTTAGAAACAGAGTCTCTCTCTGTCTCCCAGGCTGCAGTGCAGTGGCATGATCTCGGCTCAGTGCAACCTCTGCCTCCTGGCTTTAAGTGCTTCTCCTGCCTCAGCCTCCCAAGTAGCTAGGACTACAGGTGCATGCCGGCATGCTTGGCTAATTTTTCTTGTCTGTTTAGTAAAGATGAATTTCCCGCATGTTGGCCAGGCTGATCTCGAGTCCCTGATCTTAAATGATCCACCTTTCTTGGCCTCTCAAAGCGCCAAGATTACAACCGTGAACCACCACACCCAGCATATAAAGGTATTTATGACCACTAGATTTTACTTTTAAAAATGGTAAAGTTGGTAAATTATATAGTTACATTTAACCTCAATAAATATTTTTGAAAATGAAAAGAAAAGAGTGTAGGGGTTGCTGGTGATGACATCTCTCTGTGTGGGTGAGAGGCCAGGATGGGCTTCTGGGAAATGGGTAAGGTTGAGGGGCTGAGGGAACCTCTGATCTCCCCAAACTGAGCCCAGTCTCCCCTTCTCTGGGTCTGTCCTGACCGCTTTCTCCATCTGCCTGGGTGCCTGGAGCCCTGACCATGGGCCTCCATGCAGGCCATGCAAGAGGGTTTGGAGGTGCCCTGTCTGCCATCCTGCACCCTGACCCCCCCCTCACACCCAGTCTTCGTGTTCTCTCTGCATCTGTCCATGCTTCTCCCCATCATCGGCAGGAAGCTCCTCAGCTATGGCTCTAGGATCATAAGACATGGGACAGACACGGGTTTTCCTCACCTGTGACAGAAACAAGCAGTGGGTCACTTGAGTTTGACCACACGCAGGGCAGGGCACGGAAAGAGCCGAAGCATCTGTAGGTCCCTCCGTGGGTGGCAGGGCCCAGAGGAAAGTCTGCCTGGAATGTTCTGTTGACCTTGGGCACTGCACGGAGCCTACGTTCATGGGCCTCCCCTTCCCTGGACAGATGGTAGATGTCATAGGAGCTCCAGGAGCTACAGGACAAGGTCACGTTCTCTCCTGCCTGAACCGTGGGGCCCGGCTGGGCTGAGAGAGAAGGTTTCTCATATAGACCTGGAAGGAGAAGAGGCAGTTTCCTCAGGGAGGTTCTTCCTTGTCACAGCTCCCCTCATACCTGAGCTGAGAACTCACTCCCCTGCTCTATGACCTAATGCTCTCTCTCTCTCTCACCCTCCACCCCAACTCTCTTCATGTCTATTTCCTCCTTCCGCCTTCTCTGTCTCTCTAGGTCTCTGACCTCACTTCCCCACCCCTGGGTATGCTTTCCCTTTTTGGATTGTTTTATTCTCTCTGACTCTCCTTGGATTGGTTGACTTGATCTTCCTTTTTCTATAATTCTGAGTCTCTCACTTTCTGTCTTGTTCATAACTTTCTGCATATTTCTATCTATTATCTATCTATCTATTTTGTGTCTATCTACAAATTATCTGTCATCTATATCTATGTATCATTTATCTATCAATTGTCTATCTGTCTATCCATCAATCATCTATGTATTATCTGTATCTATGTATCATCTCTCTCTCTCTCTATTACCTCTCTGTCTGCCTGTCAGTCTCTATGTATCATCTATGTATCTATATATTTATATATGTGTCTTCTATCTATCTATCTTCATCATCATCATCATCATCATCTCTATGTATCATCTATCAATCATCATCTATGTATCTATAACCTATCCATTATCTATCATCTACCTATTTATCATCTATCTATATCTATCTATCCATCTATCATCTGTCTCTCTCCATCTCCTTGTCTTTCTCTGCCTCTCAGTCTCTCTAGTTCTATTTGGAATCTCTGCAATCCATCCCCACATCTTTATCTTTCTCTGTCTTTGTGCCCCTCCCTCAGGGTTCTGATTTTGGGGCTTTTCTCTCCTCCCTTCCAGCATTCTCTCCACTCCTCTGCCCTCTTTTCTTTCTTTTTGTGTGTCTGTGAGTCTCTCAATCCCCTTCCTCTGGCTCATTCTCTGTGTGTTTATGCCTTTGCTTTTTGAAGTCCCTGATTTATCTCTGTGTCTCTCAGTGATCCTATTATATGTAGGATTATTTGGAATATGAGCCTCAGAATCTAGTCTGGGGACACCAAGTACACACAGTATTTAGGGGTTGGTGTTCTGGGGCCATGATATCCTGGGATAATTATGGCTCCACTGCATGGAAGGCAGAGGTGTCAGAATAAACATGGCATCTGTAGATGCCACAAGGCCTGAGGCCACAGGGCCCAACTCAGGTCAGAAATATGGGTGTCCTTGGGTTCTCCTCGTAGAAGCACTTTGTGGAGACAAAACAGAAATGAAACTTCTAACCTGTGCCAGGTCTCTGAGCAAAGTCAGCATGGAAGGACACTTCTCTCTGGCACATGTCTGTCTGTCTGAGTGTCTCCTTTACCTCTTTCTCTCTTTTCTACTTCCCCGTATGGCCCCTGTGTCTGTCCTCTGTTATGACACCTGGTCTGTACTTATGTCTCCTGTTTCCCTGTCTCTGTTGGTACAGACCTCACCGAGTCAGTCTCTCTCCATAAGAATCCCACGCTTATCTTCCTCATGACCACCTGGGGGTTCCAAGTCCTGGATCATTCACTCTGTGTCCCAATGACAATGAGAAGAATGTCTGGACACTCTCACCTGTGATCACGATGTCCAGGGGGTCACTGGGAGCTGACAACTGATAGGGGGAGTGAGGAACAGAACCATAACATCTGTAGGTTCCTGCAAGGACAGGCATCAAGGGACCGATGGAGAAGTTGGCCTTGGAGACCCCATCATGGATCTGTCCAACGAGGCGTGAGGGGTCCTCAGAGATCCCATCTCTGTGCAGAAAGAAGTGCTCAAACATGACATCTGACCAACATTGCAGGATGACTGTCTCTCCTGATTTCAGCAGGGGCCCTGGGTGGGCCAGGAGGGAAGGTTTTCTGTGGTTTCCTAGAAAGAGAAGTTGTGAGTTTAGAAGGCATCTCTCTTTATCATCCCATCCATGGCACCTGGAATGAGTGAGGGTTCCCCTCCCAGAGGTCTGTCTCTCTCCTCCCTCTCTGTGTCTCCGTGTCTTTTCTGTGCCCATATCCCCTGGTGCAGGTCCCTCCATTTGTCTTCCTCCCTCTTCTCTGTCCCTCTGTCTCCAGTAGCCCCTGACTCCCTTCCCACTGTGAAGAGAGCCTCATCTCTTGGGCTGTTGTATCTCTTTCCCACTAGTCTCTTTCCTGCTGTCTATGTGGGGGTGGAAGAGGACAGGCTGCATGTCCAGGCTCTCAGCAGCCTGAATCAATCTCTTTTGAACAAATTGGAGTCTCTGGCAGAGGTATCAACTCATCAGTAAGGCAGACATCAGTGTCCACACACCCTGTTCCTGATGGGGATTGGGAGCCTCTCCTGCCATGTCTGTGCCTTCTCCATGGCCCCAGCTTCCATAGGGTGGTCCCTGGTGCTGGTTCCAGGAGCATCAACCCCTTCCTATGTGGATGGAGCCTGGTGGTGGCATCAGCATCCCACCCTTGCTGATCCCACGGTAGCCAACCTTCTCCTTGTTTGGTTTCTTTAATTAATTGATTAATTAATTTATTTTTGAGACAGTCACTTTTTCACCCAGGCTGGAGTGCAGTGGTGTTGTCTTGGCTCACTGCAACCTCTGCCTCCCCGGTTCAAGTGATTCTCTTGCCTCAGCCTCCCCAGTCGTTGGATTACTCGTGCCCACCACCACACCTGGCTATCCTTGTTTGGTTTCCTAGCTTGTCCTTGACCTGGGTTCCTGTGTCGGTTTCCTGTTGCTGCTGCAGAAAATTATCACAAACATGGCAGCAGGAGAGAACACACTGACCCCTTCCACTTCTGGGGACAGAAATTGGATCCAGTTCTCCCTGTGCTGAAATCAAGGCATCTGCAGGGCTGCGTTCCCTCTGGAGACTCAGCGAATCAGTTCTCTTGACTTCTCCAGCCCTTAGAGGCCACCTGCATTCTGTGACTAGTGGCCTTCCTCCACCTTCAAAGCCCACAGTGGCTGATAGCGTCTCCCTCCCACTACACTGCTCTAATCCCCACTCCCCTCTTCCTCCACCTCTCACGCGGACCCTTGTGATTACACTGAGCCCAGCAGGACAGTCCAGGCTGTCTCCCCATCTCAAGGTCAACTCATCAACAACCTGAGCTCCACCTTCCCCTTCAGTCCCCTGCCCTATAACATAAATAGTCACAGGCTCCAGGGTTTACAATGTAGCCATCATTGGCGACAGTTATTCTTCCCACCACAGCGCCCATTTCCCCTGTATTCAATCTCCCTTGACCCCAAATACAGTTGGGGCCTGGGTGATGGGACCCTGATGGACACCCCCACCAGAAGCTCTGGGATTCAGGAGGTGGGACAGTGAGAAGCCCAGACAGAAAGCCTCTGACCTGTGACCATGATCACCAGGGGGTTGCTGGGTGCCGACCACCCAGTGAGGGAGTGTGGGCGTGAACCCCGACATCTGTAGGTCCCTGCATGTGCTGGGGTCACAGGGCCCATGATGAAGCTCTCCTGGAATATTCTGCCGTGGAAGATGGGAACGTGGCTTCTGTCTTCTTTGTACAGCATGAAATTGTTAAACCCACGACGATAGTGACACTGAAGAGCCACGTGTCCTCCTCGAGGCACCACAGTGCTGGGCCGGGCAGACAGGAAGGGTTTGTCCTGACCACCTGGGGGAGAAGGAGGCACTGCCTTAGAGAGGAGGATGTGGAGCCACCCCTCCCTCCCTGTGCTCAGAAGATTCTCCCATTTCCGCTTTCTAAGGCTCCTACCACACCTGGGTGCCCAGGGCTACAGGAAGGACCCACCCCACATAGACATGGCGTCTCCCTACAACAAGTGTCAGCTGAGAACTTTGAGCAAGTGCTGAATAAGTGACTCTTACTAGATTTTAATACTGCAAAATTACTCACATAAAACAACACAAAGTAGACACGGCATGGAGGGCATGTCCTATGTGAGTGGAATATCAGCCAATTCATGAACTGAGCCCCCTCAGAGGATTTGGAATGTCAGGGCCATGGCTGTGGTTTCCCCCCTCTTCTGGTAGAAAGACCGCAGCCACACTGCAGCCCCTACCGTCACGGAAACGCTGGAGGGTGTCAGTTATACCTTTGTCCTCAGAGGACCTGCTGTTCCTAGCACTGCTTCCCTCTCTTTCTCTGCTGCTGACACCACTTCCTCCCTGCACACCCCAGCTTGGAGCACCCCAGTCTCACCCCAGTCTTCACAGAGCTTGACTCAGGAAAGGGAAAGAAAGGCCAGGGAGGGCGAGGTCAGAAATGTGGGCCGAGTATCCAAGGGTCCCCTCTTCCTAGTTTATGAGAGACTCCCCGACAGGACTTCCCTCCTGTTTCAGAAAAATCCTCTTATGTGGGGAGATGACACCCTAAGGTTTGGGGACGGACTCACCCATGAGTGGCCAGGCCCCCTGCAGCAAGAAGAACCCTGGAAAGAAAGATCATGATAGACGATCCAACTGCAGGCAAACCAGGGCACCCTGCTGCCCCCACTGCACTGTGTGTCTTGGCAGCCAGGCCCTTGCTGGGCTGAAGGTAAACTTAGCCTCCCTGCTACCTGCTGCCAAGAACAGGGCTCTCAGCTGTGGAGAGACCCAGGCTCCAGGCCCAGATCAACACTTCCTGGCCCAGATCTCCACTCCAGGCCCATATCTCCACTCCAGGCCCCTATCTCCACTCCAGGCCCATATCTCCACTCCAGGCCCATATCTCCACATCAGACCCATATCTCCACTCCAGGCCCAGATCTCCCCTCTAGGCCCATATCTCCACTCCAGGCCCATATCTCCACTCCAGGCCCATATCTCCACATCAGACCCATATCTCCACTCCAGGCCCATATCTCCACTCCAGGCCCAGATCTCCACCTGCAGGCCCATATCTCCACTCCAGGCCCATATCTCCACTCCAGGCCCGTATCTCCACTCCAGGCCCATATCTCCACACCCAGGCCCATATCTCCCCTCCAGGCCCATATCTCCACTCCAGGCCCATATTTACACCTCCAGGCCCATATCTCCACACCCAGGCCCATATCTCCACTCCAGGCCCATATCTCCACTCCAGGCCCATATCTTTACCTCTAGGCCGAGATCTCCATCCCCACTCTCCCTCCCTCTATTCCCTTCCAGGACTCACCAACGCACGCCATGCTGACGACCGTGAGCGACATGGTGCTGCCGGTGCAGACAGGAGGCCGCGCCCCAGCTCAGCTCAGCAGCGCACAGGATGTTATTTGGCGCCCTGCCCATGCAGTTTACATGTTGACCACATCATGGGAGGGTGACGTACGCAGGCTCTTTCTACCTTGCATGAGGCCCAGTGGGTGCTCGCTCAAGAGCGGAACATGGCTTCCTGGAAATTGTTGTGACTACAATTGCCACCTTGCATCCTTCACTATGACCAGACTCAAAAGACGTCTCAGATCCAACCTCTCACACATGAGGTGATTGAATTCTGTGCTTACATTAAAGACTTTTGATGTATTTTTGTTTTTATCTGAGATTCAAACTTTTCTTCATGTGTAATGTGCAAAATATCTAAGAGGTATTATTAACATTATCAGAGTAATTGTGACAAAAAGCCATTCTAATTTTCCTGATGAGTTTCTAGTACTAAACCTGAGGCACGAGAATTGCTTGAACCTGGGAGGCGGAGGCTGCAGTGAGCTGAGCTCAAGCCACTGAACTCCAGCTTGGGTGACAGAGGAAGAGTCTGTCTCAAGAAAGAAAAAAAAAAGCAAACTAAATAACCTATAATAACAAATCAGAGAACTCAGGTTACCAAATTTTAAGGGGTTCTATAAGTTTATATGAAATGCAGCATCCTCATGAGAGGGGATACAGAGAACCACTGGGCAGAAAACTGTGTCTAAAATACATCTGTGGATACACAGTCCCTTTATAGTTGACAAAGGCTGCCATGTAGTTTAAGGTGGAATAGAATATTTTCTCAACAAATAACACAGGACCATAGGGTTACACGTAGGAAAAAATAAATCTAAACTTATCCTCACACTATAAAGACACTTCTTATTTTTTATCTTGTTGTTGTAAACTTTTTATGCTTTATTTTTAAGATTGACAAATAAAAATTATATACTGTGGTCCTTCACTATTCCTGGGTGATTGGTTCCAGGATCCCCATTCAGATACCAAAATCTGCAGATGCTCAAGCCCCTTGCATGAAATGGCATAGCGAAGCTGGGCACCGTGGCTCACGCCTGTAATCCCAGCACTTTGGGAGGCTGAGTTGGGTAGATCACGAGGTCAGGAGTTCAAGACCAGCTGGTCCAACATTCTGAAACCCCGTCTCTACTAAAAATACACACACAAAAAAATTTATCTGTGCATGGTGGCACGTGCCTGTAATCCTAGGGGAGGCTACTGGGGAGGCTGAGGGAAGACAATCGCTTGAACCTGGGAGGCGGAGGTTGCAGTGAGCTGAGATCATGCCACTGCACTCCAGCCTGGGTGAGAGAGTGAGACTGTCTCAAAAAAAAAAAAAAATAGCATAGCAATTGCATAGAACCCATGCACATCCTCCTGTATACATGAAATCATCCCTTGATTACTTATAATTCCTGACACAGCCTACACGCCACTCAATTTGTGTCGATTCAACATAGTTTTTTGCTTCTTGAAACTTCGGGGATTTTTTTCTGAAAATATTTTTGATTTATTGTTGGTTCAATAAACACCTGTAAACCCCACAGATATGGAGGACCGACTGTATATTTATATTATGAAAGATGATATGTTGATATGTGTCCCCGTGGAGATGAGACTAACAAGGCCTATGACTCTACAAATGTTTCATCGTGGAATGACTCTGCCAGCTTTCCAGGTCTGCAGAGAGTAAGAATATCACTTGTTCATGTGATTCACGATCCTTGGAGCCTCCTATGTGCTGTATCTTTGGATGGAAATTGGAGTCTCAGAGACAAATCAGGCTCCATTCTGCTTCCAGAAGCTCAGAGTCCAGGGCTGAGAACCCAATGGAGAACAGATGGGGTTATGTGGACATGGTAATGATAACACCGGAAGCCTTAGGCAAGAAAAGAGTCTCGTTACCGAAACCATGAGGGCAGACATGTTTATTTGAAGGCGGGAAAACTACATTGAAATTATTTAAAAAATTTATAAGTTTTACTGCTGGCAGAAGGCTGAAAGATAGTCTGAAGGGAGGTGGAACAGCACGTGTCTAAGTGCTGTGTTAAGAGGCAGCCTCTTGTATGTTTGGAATTGTGAGTTCCTCAGTGTGATTGCAGCCTCAGGTAGACTAGGAAGTAAGCCAGTTAGGTTGGAGAGGTGGGCAGGGGTCAAGTGAAATGGAGAATTGTGGGCTAAGCAAAGGAGTGTGTTTTCTCTCCAGCAGGCAGTGGGGACCTTAGACATTTGTAAGCAAGAGAGAGGCATGTTCAGATTCGTGGTGTGAGGAAGAGCGATGCCCTAAGATGAAGACTGATGCCTTCAGATTCCAGCTGCTGGTACATGGGAGCTGGCAACCCGGTTTTGAGACAGGGCTGTTGTCTCCCTAGAAGATCCCCTCAAGGCCTGACTGTGGTGCTCGTGGACAGAAGACAACTTTGGATCTGGGCTCAGCATTTGGAAGTTCTATGTACATGCTGGTATCTGTTGGGGGTGTCTTGGGCCTCTCAGAAGGGCGAGTGATTTTTCTCTGTGTGAAAACACAGTGATCCAATTATGCGTATGACACCTCCTGATGGTCTTGTTCATCAGAATCCTGGAGAGAGGGAAATGCTGAGTGAGGGAGGGTGCTCACATTTTTCAGGACTCTTTGGGAATAAGACTAGCCACGAGGCTGGGCCGAGGAGCACCTACCTCGCTGTTCACTGTTCTGTTCCCTGCAGGCTCTTGGTCCATTACAGCAGCATCTGTAGAAGACGGAAGTCAACAAAAGAGCTCGGAGGGCACTTCTGGGTCCTCATTTCATAAGCAGATACCAACAAACAGGGGGAGGCCATAGGTGCCTGAGGTCCCTCAGTTGCCAACAGCAGACTCAGACATTCTATCTCTCTGAGTTCAAGGACCCATCCCATGAATAGCTCTGAGGTCCCATCCCATTGATTCTATCTCCCACTTTCTGCCTGTCATGGAACCTTCTCCTGGATGTGAGTGGCTGCAGGGGACGTGAGGATACAGTTCAGAATCAGGCAATGGTCTGTGAGCTGAAGGCAGGGGAAGGGAATCTGGTGCTCTCTCTAGAAAGTCCTGCCTCTGTGGCTCCTGTCTTGGGCCAGGGACCATCCTGCTGGTGAGGAACACACATCCGCGTGCTCCCATCCTGCTTCCCCACATGGCCCTGAGCTCTCTGGCCTCTGCTTCGTGAGACTTACTTTTTTTGTCGGAGCACCAGCGATGAAGGAGAAAGAAGAGGAGGATGGTGAAAGGGATTTTGACCACTGAGGTCCCAATCAGAACATGTAGGTGTCTGGGGTTACCTGGAAGAAGAGGAGACACCAATAAGAAGCTAATCATAGCAGTTCCTCTTTATGAATTGTCTCGCATTTCTTGATTGGCAGGTAACCACATACAACGTCTCTTTAGGACAAGCACCCAAATGGCGGGAGACCTAGCTTTCCCCTGCTTTCTCAATTATAGCTCTCATAGTAACCATAGAACGTGCTGAGGATACAACTACTTTAGTTGAGATGTTTGACCCTTTCAAACCTCACATTGAAATTTCACCCCCATTGTGGGAGGTTGGGCCTCTTCAGAGGTGTTTGGGTCATGGAGGTGGATCCATCATGAACAGATCAATGCTGTCCCAAGGAGACGGGGTTAGCAAGTTCCCCCTCTGTTAGTTCCTGGAGAGCTGGTTGTTAAAAAGAGCTTGGAAGCTCCATCGCTCCCTCTCCCCCTTACTCTCTCTCTTGCCGTGTGATCTCTGCGGTCTCTGCACAGACAGACCCTCCTTCCCTTCTGCCAGAGTGGGAGCAGCCTGAGGCCGTCACGAGAAATAGATTCTGGTGCCATGCTTCCAGTACAGCCTGCAGAACTGTGAGGCAAACCAATCTCTTTTCTTTAGAAGTTACCCAGGCTCAAGTGTTCCTTTAGAGCAACAAAAATGGACTAAGATAGCAACATCCTGAGATCAGGAGGAATGTCTCAGAACAGCCTGGGCTGTCTTCCTGTTCTTCCTGGAGGAGGACGTCATGCAGTGCTTTAGCTGAGTGCTTCCTGTGGCTCCAGGGTACAAAACCCAGGCTGGGCTGCTTTCTGGCTTCCCCCAGCTACACTGCAAATGGGGTGACTCCATATGTCCCGAGCAGCTTTTCTGAGCCTTGAGGGACTGGCTCACATTGAAATGCAGGCTTCTGTTGTCACTCGCTGCTTATCTGTTAGTAATGAACCTGCCTATGTAACGTATTCTCTGTGTGTTCTGTCTCCCTGGAGTGACGGTGAGTGATAGGAATTGGCATAGGCCCAGGTGCAGTCCAGGATTTGTTTAGAGTCTTCTCTGGGAAGACTGCACTGGGATTGATACACAGCGAATGTGCTTTAGGATTTCTACATCCACAGCATTCTTGAGTCAAACAAATTGCATTCACCAAGGAAAGGAAACAAAGGTGACATCACGATTAAAAATAGCGAAGCAAGATTCTCTTATGTCAAACAGCCAGGAAATAGTGTTGAAGCCCGTGTGAAATGTGCTACTCTTTGTGATCTCGGGAGACACATGTTAGGTTGCTGTTCTACCCGAGAGGCTGGGGGAAGGACCACCCCCTCGACCATCTATTGCTTCAATACCACCTGTCCTCCTGTGAATTAGTAGGAAAGGGGAACAGGAGCTAGTGCTGTCGCTGATCTCTGATTCCAAGATCTGGACTCACTCCAAGGAGTATTAATGTTTCCTCCCCATGGTCTATCTGAATCTCCACAGGTGATTGGAAGTAGGGGTGAGGTGGGGGATTTGGGTGAGTGGGCAAGTTTTTTTTTGCGATGACCAGAGCACTTTCTCTATTCCAGGATCCGTGCTGGAGGATTCAGCGGGCTTTCACATTTTCTATGTGATCTCATGCTCACAGAAAGCCAAATAGGGAAGAGGTTTTAGGCTCATTGCCTAATGGATAAGATAAAGGATCAAAGAAGTAATTATAGAGAAATAGAAAAATGATGATTGGAATTCAGGTGCCTTTGTCATTCGTGTGTGTTTTATTATATTTATGCATTTCTTATTTTTATTTTTTGAGACGGAGTCTCCTTGTGTCACCCAGGCTGGAGTGCAGTGATGCAATCTCCACTCACTGCAACCTCCACCTCCTGGGTTGAAGTCATTCTCCTGCTTCATCCTCCAGAGTAGGAGCTGGGATTACAGGGATGCACCACCATGCTCGGCTAATTTTTGTATTTTTAGTACAGATAGGGTTTCACCATGTTGGCCAGGCTGGTCTGGAACTCCTGACTTCATGGAATCCACCCGCCTTGGCCTCCTGCAGTGCTGGGTTACAAGCATGAGCCACCGTTCACAGACTTGTATATTATGCTATAATAGGTCCCTTCATTTCCACCACCCCTCATATATCTGTCACTCCTTTGCCAGGTATTGATTTATGTGTAGGATGAATAAATCTCAGAAAGAAATTAATTAAGCGAGGATTAAACAAGTAGGAAAATCAAACCCAGTAAGCCTTTCCAGTCAATGATTCTACCTCACAAGCATATCTTATATCCATCTACTTCATTCATTTAGTGTCTAAATCAGCACCACATTTCACCAGTGGGGCGGCAATTGCCTTTTCCACGGTCTCCTAGATTCCAGTTACGCACCTGAGCCTCCCTTATTTTCATGTCAGTCATATTAATCATGTAGGGATTCCTGGTTACCCCGAGGTGAATCCAATGGCTGTGAGTGTCAAACACACACTCCTTGTTGCTCCTTAGTTTCCTGTGTACCCAGTGTGCTCTCCGTCTCTCTACAGTCGTCTTGTCATTCTCCCCATCTCATTCCCAGCATTTCAGGCAGAGCCTCTTCCTTCCACATCAGATTGTTTTCAGCTTTCTGCCTTCACGGCTGACAGCTGTGTGTGGAAAATCCTTCCGCCAATCTTTCAGGGGTTCAATCCGTGTTTTTCATTAATGTCACAAATATCTGATTAGTGAGACCTTCTCTGTCACCCAAAATTATACACTCAGCATTATCTATTATTTATTTTGAATTCTGGCTGGGCAAAGTGGCTCACGCCTTTTATCCCAGTACTTTGGGATGCTGAGACGGTTGGATCACTTGAGGTTGGGAGTTTCAGACAAGCTTGGCCAACATGGTGAAACATCCTCTCTACAAAAAATATACAAAAAGAATTAGCCGGGCATGGTGGCAGTTGCCTGTAATCCCAGCTACTCGAGAGGGTGAGGCAGGAGAATCACTTGGATCCAGGAGACGCAGGTTGCAGTGAGCCAAGATCGTGACACTGCACTGTAGCCTGGAAGACAGAGGGAGACTCTGTCTCAATAAACAAACGAACAAACAAACAAATAGATTTCATGCACAGATGCTTCCCAATGGATCATTCATTTATTGGTCCACTTGTGCATTCATTTTCTGTCCTCCCATTTAACCATCTGCAATATCAGTGTCCCAAGAGCAGAGGCCAAATGCATCTTGTTCACCATTTGTGGAAGGCAGGAGAATGCTGTCCCACCCCAAAATGTCCCTGTCCTAGCCTCCATAGCTTGTGAATATGTTATTTTACATGGAAAGGAGGAATGAAGATTGCAGATGGAATTACGGTTGCTAATCAGCTGAACTTAAAACAAGGGTATCCTGAATGATTTCCGGGAGATTATGACGGATTTTCATCTTGGTGAACCCAATAGAATCCCCAAGTTTTCAAAAGATGAGGAAGAAGGGAGAGCAGCATTCAGAGAAAGAGGTGTGGTAAGGAAGAAGGGTCTGAGTGATGCCATGTGAGATGTGACCAGCCTTTGTGGGCTTTGAGGAAGGAGGAAGGGGACCAGCAGCCAAGGAACTGGGAGCCTTTATAAGATGGGACAAGTGAGAAGCAGATTCTTGCCTGGAATCCTCAGAGGGAAGGCAGGCTTGCTGTCATCTTGATTTTAGCCCAGTGAGATGCACTTCATGCTTTGAGCTAGAGCACTGTAAGATAATTAAATAACCGTTTTGTTTTCACCCACGAATCTTGTGGAAATTTGTTATGGCAACAATAGGAAAAGCTTCCACACTGCACAACCTGAGCATGGGGCCATGGCTGAATAAGTCAGTGAGTCGAAGTGTGCGTGCATGAGCTCTGTTCTCTGTTACGGCAAGGCTCTTGCTCTGCTGAGTCAGCCAGGGTTGTTTCATGACCAACAGGAGCTCATTCCTTGGCAAGTGGAACTTCTCTAAAACACCTCGCCCTCATCAGATGTTCGCTTCCCTTCCCTCTCTCAAGCCCCCAGGAATTTATCCTCCAGTTAGGAATGCAAGCAGAACAAACATTGCATTTTTCCTGAGAAGGATGTCAGATTGGCAATCATTCTTCTAGCTTGTAGGAGGTCTCAGCTCCATAAAATGAGAGATGAAGAGATTTCACTGAGCCCTGTGTTGGGCCCAGATCCCTTTCGCTGTTGGAGTATCTGGAGTTCGGAGATGGTAGAAGACAGGCGTACAATGTCAGAGCTGTGAGATGCTGAGTCAACGCCTGAATCCAAGGTTTCCACCTCCCCAGGGTTCCAAAAGCAGATATAAGAGGGTCCTGTACTCACCGGTTTTGGAGCTTGGTTCAGTGGGTGAAGGCCAACTATTTGAAGGGTTTCCTAGAACATGAGACAGGAGAGAGGTGAGGAAATGCGGGTGTCTGTCCTCTACTCAATGGAAATCTTTGAGGATGGTTCATGGCCAACACTCTGTTATCTAACATTGGGCCCTGGGAGTCCAGGGATCCTTTCTTCCATAATTTTTGTATGTGACGCCCACTGTCTTGAGACTTCAAGGTATAAAGAGAAAACAGGAGCATCACACTACCTGATCTCAAAATATGTTACAGAGCTGTAGTAAGCAAAACAGCATGATGTTGGCATGAAGAAAGGCACATAGAACAACGGAGCAGAATGAAGAACACAGATATAATCCATGCATTTACATCCAATTTTTTTTATTTTTTCTTTTGAGATGGAGTCTCGCTCTGTCACCCAGGCTGGAGTGCAGAGGTGCAATCTCGGTTCACTGCAACCTCAGCCTCCTGGGTTCAATCAATTCTCTTGCCTCAAACTCCTGAGTAGTAGTATTACAGGTGCTGACCACCATGCTCAGCTAATTTTTATATTTTTAGTGGAGACGATGTTTCATCACGTCGGCCAGAGTAATCTTGTACTCCTGTCCTCAGGTGATCCACCAGCCTTGGCCTCCCAAAGTGCTGAAGTTGCTGGTGTTAGCCACCATGCCCAGCCCATCCAATGGACTTTGACAAAGGTGCCAAGAACTCACAATCAGGAAAGGACAGTTTTTTCAATAAACAGTGCAGGGAAACCTGGACATCTACATGCAGAGGAATGAAACTGCACCTCTACCTGTCACCATACACAAAAATCAAATGAAAGTGGATTAAAGATGTGAGTCTAAGGCCTGAACCTGTGAAACACGTAGAAGAAAATATTGGGGAAATGCTCCAGGACATTTGTCTGAAGGAAGACATTTTGTTTTAAACCTTCAAAACACAAGTAATTGAAGCAAAAATAGACCATTGGGATTACCTCAAACTAAGCAACTTCTGCACCGCTAAAAATAAACCAACAAAGTGAAGAGACAACCCACAGATTGGGAGCAAATATGTGCAAACTATGCTTCTGAGACGGGATTAGTAACTAGAAGTATAAGAAGCTCAAACAACTCAATAAAACAAATGATTTAATTGAAAAAGGAGCAAAAGACATGAAATTTCCCCACATACGAAAAAGTGCTCAGTATCACTCATCATCAGAGAAACGCGAATTAAAATCAAAGTGAGTTTTCATCTCACCCCATTAAAATGGCTTTTAGGCCGGGCGAGGTGGCTCACGTCTGTCATCCTAGAACTCTGAGAGCCCGAGGTGGGCGAATCTCATAAGGTCGGGAGTTTGAGACCAGTATGACCCACATGGAGAAACGCTGTCTCTACTAAAAATACAAAAATTAGTCGGGCGTGGTGGCGTGTGCCTGTAATTCCAGCTACTCGGGAGGCTGAGGCAGGAGAATCGCTTGAACCTGGGAGGTGGAGGTTGCGGTGAGCCGAGATCGCACCACTGCACTCCAGCCTGGGTGACAAGAGCGAAACTCCATCTCAAAATAAAATGAAATAAAATAAAATGGCTTTTAGCTGCAAGACAGGCAAAACAAATGCTGGCAAGGTGGTAGAGAAAGGAGAACCCTGGTACCCTGTTGGTAGGAGTGTAAATTAGTACAGCCATTACGGAGAAAAGTATGGAAGTCCTTTAAAGAACTAAAAAGAGGTTGGATGAAGTGGATCATGCCTGTAATCCCGGCACTTTGGGAGACCGAGGCGGGCACCTCAGTTGAGGTCATGAGTTTGAGAGCAGCCTAGCCAACCTGGGGAAACCCCATGTACACTAAAAAAAACCAAAAAGTATCCCGGCATGGTGGCGTGCACCTGTAATCCCAGCTACTAGGGAGGCTGAGGCAGGAAAATCATTTGAACCCAGGAGGCGGAGGTTGCAATGAGCCAAGATCACATCACTTGTACTCCAGCCTGGGCACAGAGGGAAACTGTCTCAAAAACAAAAACAAAACAACAAACGAAAAACTAAAAAGAGAACTTTCATAGTATCCAGCAATTTCACTACTGGGTTTATATCCAAAGGAAAGTAAATCAATGTATCGAAGTGATATCTGCACTCGTATGATTGGTGCAGCACTCTTCACAGTAGCCAAGATGTGGAGTCAACCTACCTGCCCATCAGTGGATGAATGGATAGAGAGAATGTAGTACATACGCACAGCGGAGACTACTCATCCATAGAAAGAATAACATCCTGATATTTGCAGCCACATGGATGGAACTGGAAGTCATTACAAATATTCTCATTTCTCACCCATATACAGGAGCTAAAAGGTGGATCTCATGAAGATAGAGAGTAGAATGGTGGCTACCAGAGGCCAGGAAGAAAAGGGTGGAGGATAAAACAAACAAACAAAAAATTTATATGTATGTATTTATGACCACTAGACCTTACACTTAAAATTGGTAAACGTGGCCGGGCGCGGTGGCTCATGCCTGTAATCCCAGCACTTTGGGAGCCTGAGGCGGGTGGATCACGTGGTCAGGAGTTCCAGAGCAGCTCGACCAACATGGTGAAACCCCCTCTCTACTAAAAATACAAAAAGTAGCCTGGCGTGGTGATGGGCGCCTGTAGTACCAGCTACTCAGGTGGCTGAGGCAGGAGAATCGCTTGAACCCAGGAGGCGGAGGTTACAGTGAGCTGAGATTGTGCCACTGCATTCCAGCATAGGAGACAGAGCTAGACTCCACCTCAAAAAAAAAAAATGTTAAAAGTGGTAAGCTATATAGGTATATTTAACCTCAATAAATATTTTTTCAAACAAAAAGAAAAGGATGTAGGGGTTGCTGGTGATGACATCTCTGTGTGGGTGAGAGGCCAGGAAGGGCTTCTGGGAAATGGGTAAGGTTGAGGGGCTGAGGGAACCTCTGATCTCCCCAAACTGAGCCCAGTCTCCCCTTCTCTGGGTCTCTCCTGACCGCTTTCTACATCTGCCTGGGTGCCTGGAGCCCTAATCGGAGGCCTCCATGCAGGCCATGCAGGAGGGTTTGGAGGTGCTGTGTGTGCCATCCTGCGCCCTGATCCCTCCCTTACAGGCATGCTGCGTCTTCTCTCTGCATCTGTCCATGCTTCTCTCCATCATCAGCAGGAAGCTCCTCAGCTAAGGCTCTAGGATCATAGGACATGGGACAGATATGGGGTTTCCTCACCTGTGACGGAAACAAGCAGTGGATCACTCGAGTTTGACCACTCGTAGGGAGCGTCACGGAAAGAGCCGAAGCATCTGTAGGTCCCTCCGTGGGTGGCAGGGCCCAGAGGAAAGTCGGCCTGGAATGTTCCGTTGATGCTGCGCACTGCAGGGAGCCTACGTTCATGGGCCTCCCCCTCCCTGGATAGATGGAGCTGCAGGACAAGGTCACATTCTCTCCTGCCTGAACCGTGGGGCCCGGCTGGGCTGAGAGAGAAGGTTTCTCATATAGACCTGGAAGGAGAAGGGGCAGTTTCCTCAGGGGGGATCTTCCTTGTCACAGCTCCCCTCACACCTGACCTGAGAACTCACTCCCCTGCTCTATGGCCTAATGCTCTCTTTCTCTGTCTCACCCTCCACCCCATCTCTCTTCATGTCTATTTCCTCCTTCCACCTTCTCTGTCTCTGTAGGTCTCTGACCTCACTTCCCTACCTCTAGTTATGTTTTCCGTTTTTGGATTGTTTTATTCTCTCTGGCTCTCCTTGGATTGGTTGACTTGATGTTACTTTTTTTAACTCTGAGTTTCTCAGTTTGTGTCCCGTTCATAACTTTCTGCATATTTCTATCTATTATCTATCAATCCATCTATTTATCTATTCGGTGCCTATCTACAAATTCTCTACCTGTCATCTATATCTATATATCATCTATTTATCTATCAATTGTCTATCCGTCAATCATCTATTATCTATATATATGTATCATCTCTCTCTCTCTATTATTTCTCTCTTTGTCTTCCTCTCTATCTCTATGTATTATCTATCCATCTATCTTCATCATCATCATCTCTATGTATCATCTATTAATGAATCAATCAATCATCATCTATGTATCTATAACCTATTATCTATCATCTACCTATATATCATCTATCTATATCTATCCATCATCTATCTGTATCTATCCATCTATCATCTGTCTTGCTCTGCCTCTCGGTCTCTCTAGTTCTCTTTGGAATCTCTGCAATTCATCCCCACATCTCCATCTTTCTATGCCCTTGTGCCTCACCCTCAGGACTCTAATTTTAGTGGTTTTCTCTGCTCTCTTCCATCATTCTCTCCACTTCTCTGCCCTCTTCTCTCTCTTTATGTGTCTGTGAGTCTCTCAATCTCCTTCCTCTGGCTCTTTCTCTGTGTGTTTATGTCTTTGCTTTTTGGTGTCCCTGATTTCTCTCTGTGCTTCTCAGTGATCCTCTCATATGTGATATGTGGGGTTATTTGGAATGTGAGCCTCAGAATCCAGTCTGGAGACCACAAGTTCACACAGCATACAGGGGTTGGTGTTCTGGGGCCATGATATTTTGGGACGATTATTCTCCATTGCATGGAAGTCAGAGGTGTCAGAATAAGCATGGCATCTGTAGGTGCCACAAGGCCTGAGGCCACAGGGCCCAACTCAGGTCAGAAATATGGGTGTCCTTGGGTTCTCCTGGTAGAGAACACTTTGTGGAGGTAAAACAGAAATGAAACTTCTAACCTGTGCCAGGTCTCTGAGCAAAGTCAGCATGGAAGGACACCTCTGTCTGGGACATGTCTGTCTGTCTCCTTTAACTCTTTCTGTCTTTTCTAACTCCCTGTATGGCCCCTGTGTTTGTCCTCTGTTACGACACCTGGTCTGTACTTGTGTCTCTTGTTTCTCTGTCTCTGTTGGCACAGACCTCACCAAGTCAGTCTCTCTCCATAAGAATACCAAGCTCATCTTCCTTACAACCACCTGGGTCTCCAAGTCCTGGATCATTCACTCTGCATCCCAATGACAATGAGAAGAATGTCTGGACACTCTCACCTATGATCACCATGTCCAGAGGGTCACTGGGAGCTGACAACTGATAGGGGGAGTGAGGAACAGAACCGTAGCATCTGTAGGTTCCTGCAAGGACAGGCATCATGGGACCAATGGAGAAGTTGGCCTTGGAAACCCCATCATGGTGCTCTCCAATGAGGTGCAAAGTGTTGTTAAACTTCCCCTCTCTGTGCAGAAGGAAGTGCTCAAACATGACATCCGACCAACATTGCAGGATGACTGTCTCTTCTGATTTCACCAGGTGACCTGGGAGGGCCAGGAAGGAAGGTTTTCTGTGGACTCCTAGGAAGAGAGGTTGTGAGTTTAGAAGGTGTCTCTCTTTATCATCCCATCCATGGCACCTGGAATGAGTGAGCCTTCCCTTCGCTGGTGTCTGTCTCTCTGCTTCCTCTCTGTGTCTTCATGTTCTTTTCTGTGCCCATAACTCCTGGTGCAGGTCCTTCCATCTGTCTCCCTCCCTCTTCTCTGTCCCTCTGTCTCTAGTAGCTGTGGTTCCCTTCCCACTGGGCTCAGCCTCATCTCTTGGGCTGTTGTATCTATTTCACACTAATGTCTTTCTTACTGTCTATGTGGGAGTGGAAGAGGAAGCAGGATAGGCTGCACGTCCCGGCTCTTAGCAGCCTGGTTCAATCTCTTTTGGACGAATTGGAATCCTTGGCAGGAGGTATGAACTGATCAGTAAGGCAGGCACCAGTGTCCACACACCCTGTTCCTGGTGGGGACTGGGAGCCACTCTTGCCATGTCTGTGCCTTCTCCATGGTGCCAGTTTCCATAGGCTGGCTCCTCGTGCTGATTTGAGGAGTATCAACCCCTCCCTATGTGGATGGAGCCTGGTGGTGGCATCATCATCCCACCCTTGCTGATCTCGGTGTAGCCAACCTTCTCTTTGTTTGGTTTCTTTAATTAATTAATTAATTTTGGAGACAGAGTCTCACTCCTTCGCCCAGGCTGGAGTGAAGTGGTGTGGTCTACGCTCACTGCAACCTCTGTCTCCTGGGTTCAAGCGATTCTCCTGCTCTCAGCCTCCTGAGTCGCTAGGATTACATGCACCTGCCACCATGCCTGGCTATCCTTGTGTCTTTTCTTAACTTGTCCTTGACCTGGGTTCCAGTGTTGGTTTCCTGTTGCTGCTGTAGAAAATTATCAGAAGCATGGCAGCAGGAGAGAGCACACTGACCCCCTCCGATTCTGGAGACAGAAAGCGGACCCTGTTTTTCGAGGGCTAAAATCAAGGCATCTGCAGGGCTGTGTTCCCTCTGGAGACTCAGGAGAATCAGTTACTTGACTTTCCCAGCCTCTATAGGCCACCTGCATTCATGGCTTATGGCCTTCATCCACCTTCAAAGCTGATGGAGTCTCCCACTACGCTGCTCTAATCCCCACTCTCCTCTTCCTCCTCCTTTCATGTGGACACTTGTGATTATACTGAGCCCACCGGGACAGTCCAGGCTGTCTCCCCATCTCAAGGTCAACTCATCAACAACCTGAGCTCCATCTTCCCCTTCAGTCCCTTCCCCTATAACATAAATAGTCACAGACTCCAGGGATTAGAATGCAGTCATCATTGGGGACACTTATTCTTCCCACCACAGCACCCATTTCCCTGTATTCAATCCCCCTTTACCCCAAATACAGTTAGGGCCTGCGTGATGGGACCCTCAAGGACATGCCTACCAGAAGCTCTGGGATTCAGGAGGTGGGACAAGGAGAATCCCAGACAGGAGCCCTCTGACCTGTGACCATGATCACCAGGGGGTTGCTGGGTGCCGACCACCCACTGGGGGAGTGTGTGTGTGAACCCCGGCATCTATAGGTCCCTGCATGTGACGGGGTCACAGGGCCCATGAAAAGGCTTTTCCAGAATATTCTGTTGTACAGCTCAGGGACAGGCACCCCATCATCCTTGTACAGACTGAAGTTGTTAAACCCAAGATTAGAGTGACACTGAAGAGTCACATGTTCTGGAGGCACCACAAGGCTGGGCCAGGTAGAAAGCAAGGGCTTGTCCTGACCACCTTGGGGTGAAGGAGGCGCCGCCTTAGAGAGGAGGATGTGGAGCTGTGCCTCCCTCCCTGTGCTCAGAAGATTCTCCCCACTTTCCACATTTCTATGGCTGCTATCACACCTTGGTGCCTAGGGCTAAAGGAAGGACCCATCCCACAAAGACAAGGTGTCTCCGTACAACAAAAGTGTCAGCTGAGAACTTTGAGCAAGTGCTGAGTAAGAGACTCCTACTAGATTTTAATACTGTAAGATTACTGACATAAAACAACACAGGGTAGACATGAAGTGGAGGGCATGTCCTTTGAGAATGGAATATCAGCAGTTGCCTGAATGAGAATAAAAAACTTAGCCCCCATCAGAGGATTTGGAATGTCAGGGCCATGGCTGTGGTTTCCCACCTCTTCTGGTAGAATGACAGCAGCCACACTGCAGCCCCTACCGTCATGGAAACGCTGAAGTGTGTGAGTAACACCTTTGTCCTCAGAGGATCTGCTGTTCCTACCACTTCCCCACCACACAACCCAGCTTTGAACACCCTAGTCCAACCCTGGTCCCCACACAACTTGACTCTGCCAAGGGGTTGAGAGGCCAGGGAGGCAAGGTCGGAACTGTGGGCCGAGCACCCCAGGGTCCCCTCTTCCTAGTTTATGAGAGACTCCCTGACAGGACTTCCCTCCCATTTCAGGAAAATCCTCTTATGTGGGGAGATGACACCCTAAGGTTTGGAGAAGGACTTACCCTCCTGTGGCCAGGCCCCCTGCAGCAAGAAGAACCCTGGAAAGAAAGATCATGATGGAAGATCCATTTGCAGGCAAACAAGGCCTTCCTTGCTGCCCCCACTGGGCTGTGAGTCTTGATAGCCAGCCCCTTCCTGGGCCGAAGGGAAACTCACCATCAGTGCCTACCTGCACCCAAGAACAGTGCTCTCGGCTGTGCAGAGACCCAGCCTCCAGGCCCATATCCCCACCCCAAGCCCATATCTCCACTCCAGGCCCATATCTCCACTCCAGGCCGATATTTCCACCCTAGACCCATATAGCCAATCCGGGCCCACATCTCCAATCCAGGCTCAGATCTCCACCCTAGGCCCATATCTCCAATCCAGGCCCATATCTCCACTCCAGGCCCATATCTCCTCTCCAGTCCCATATCTCCACTCCAGGCCCATATCTCCACCCCAGGCCCAGATCTCCACCTCCAGGCCCATAACTACACTCCAGGATCATATCTCCACTCCAAGCCCATATCTCCACATCAGGCCCATATCTCCACTCCAGTCCCATATCTCCACACCCAGGCCCATATCTCCATTCCAGGCCCATATCCCCATCCTAGGCCCATATCTCCACCGTAGGCCCAGATCTCCACTCCAGGCCCATATCTCCACTCCAGGGCCATATCTCCACTCCAGGCCCATATCTACACACCAGGCCCATATCTCCACCCCATGCCCATGTCTCCACTCCAGACCCATATCTCCACCCCACGCCCATATCTCCACTCCAGGCCCATATCTCCAACCCACGCCCATATCTCCACCTCCAGGCACATATCTCCACCCCACGTCCGTATCTCCACTCCAGTCCCATATCTCCACTCCCGGCCCATGTCTCCACCCCATGCCTATATCTCCACTCCAGTCCCATATCTCCACTCCAGGCCCATATCTCCACTCCAGACCCATATCTCCACTCGGCCCATATCTACACTCCAGGCCCATATCACCACCTCCAGGCCCATATCTCCACTCCAGGCCCATATCTCCACCTCCAGGCCCATATCTCCACTCCAGACCCATATCTCCACTCCAGGCCCATATCTCCACTCCAGGCCCATATCTCCACTCCAGGGCCATATCTCCACTCCAGGCTCATATCTCCACTCCAGGCCCATATCTCCACTCCAGGGCCATATCTCCACTCCAGGCTCATATCTCCACTCCAGGCCCATATCTCCACTCCAGGGCCATATCTCCACTCCAGGCCCAGATCTCCACCTCCAGGCCCGTATCTCCACTCTAGTCCCATATCTCCACTCCAGGCCCATATCTCCACCTCCAGGCCCATAACTTCACTCCAGGCCCATAACTCCACTCCAGGCCCATATCTCCACCTCCAGGCCCATATCTCCACTGCAGACCCATATCTCCACTCCAGGCCCATATCTCCACTCCAGGCCCAGATCTCCACTCCAGGCCCACATCTCCACTCCAGGCCCAGATCTCCACCTCCAGGCCCCTATCTCCACTCTAGTCCCATATCTCCACTCCAGGCCCATATCTCCACCTCCAGGCCCATAACTTCACTCCAGGCCCATAACTCCACTCCAGACCCATATCTCCACCTCCAGGCCCATATCTCCACTGCAGACCCATATCTCCACTCCAGGCCCATATCTCCACTCCAGGACCATATCTCCACTCCAGGCTCATATCTCCACTCCAGGCCCATATCTCCACCTCCAGGCCCATAACTTCACTCCAGGCCCATAACTCCACTCCAGGCCCATATCTCCACTCCAGTCCCATATCTCCACTCCAGTCCCATATCTCCACCCTAGGCTCCTACCTCCCCTCCAGGTTCCTATCTCTCCTCCAGGTTCCTCTCTCCACTCCAGGTTCCTATCCCCACTCCAGGCCCATATCTCCACTCCAGGCCCAGATCTTCACTCCAGGCCCAGATCTCCACTCCAGGCGCAGATCTCCACTTCTAGGCCCATCACTCCATCTCTAGGCCCAGATCTCCACTCCAGGCCCAGATCTCCACTCCAGGCCCATAACTCCACCTCCAGGCCCATATCTCCACCTCTGGGCCCAGATCTCCATCCCCACGCTCCCTCCCTCTATTCCCTTCCAGGACTCACCAACACACGCCATGATGATGACCATGAGCGACATGGTGCTGCCGGTGCAGACAGGCGGCCGCGCCCCAGCTCAGCTCAGCAGCGCACAGGATGTTATTTGGCGCCCTGCCCATGCAGTTTACATGTTGACCACATCATGGGAGGGTGACGTACGCAGGCTTTTTCTACCTTGCATGAGGCCCAGTGTGTGCTCGCTCAAGAGCGGAACATGGCTTCCTGGAAATTGCTCTCACTAGAATTGACACCTCGCGTCCTTCACTATGACCAACTCAAAACACGTCTTAGATCCAACCTCCCAAACATGAGATGCCTAAAATCTGTGCTAACATGAAAGACTTTTCATGAATTTTTATTGTTTTTATCTGAGATTCGAACTCTTCTTCCTGTGTAATATGCAAAATATCTAATAGGTATTATTAGTGTTTTCAGAGTCATTGTGACTAATAAACCATTAGAATTGTTCATGCTTGTATTTCTAGTATTACAGCAGAACCAGTTCAAATGATTTAAATTCCCAGGGAAGGATTATGCAATTATTTACAATCTTAGAATTGTACTTTATCAGCAAAAACCACACATGTAAATTCTGGATTTTTGTAGTTTTATCTATAATTTGTCTCATGACTCAAGATTCCAGAGTCCCAACTGTGGAGTTTGCTCTCTCTCTGTCTCTCTGCCTCCCTCATTTTAAATTTTACAGAAATATCCAGTAACATAATGCTATAGAAAATCAAGTTTCCCCCAGCAGGTTGGGAAGCCGAGGTGGGCGGATCAACTGAGATGAGGAGATTGAGAGCAGCCTGGCCAACACAGTGAAACCGCGTCTCTGCTAAAAATTCAAAAATTAGCCATGCCTGGTGGCAGGCACCTGAAACGCCAGCTACTCAAGAGACTGTGGCACGAGAATCGCCTGAACCTGGGAGGCGGAAGTTGCAGTGAGCTGAGATTGCTCCACTACAGTCCCGCCTGGGCGACAGAGCAAGACTCCGCCTCAAGAAAAAAAAATAGCAAGTAGCCTATAATAACAAATTAGAGGGCTCTGGCTACTAAATTTAAAGGGTTTTATAAGGCTACATGAAGTGCAGCATCCTCAAGAGTGTGGACACAGAGAGCCCCTTAGCAGAAACAGTGTCTAAAATACATCCGTGTACACACAGTCCCTTTAGAGTTGACAAAGGCTGCCGTGTGGTTTAAGGTGGCATAGAATGTCTTCTCAATAAATAATATTAAACCAAAGGGTTACACGTAGGAAAAAATAAATCTAAACTTATTCTCACACTATAAAAACACTTCTTACTTTTTATCTAGTTATTGTACATTTTTTATGATTTATATTTAAAATTGAGAAATAAAAGTCATATACGGTCATCCTTTACTATTCGTGGGTGATTGGTTTCAGGATCTCCACTCAGGTACCAAAATCTGCAGATGCTCAAGCCTCTTACATAAAATGACACAGCATTTGGATATAACCCATGCACATCCTCCTGTATACATGAAATCATCTCTTGATTACTTATAATTCCTGATACAGCCTACACACTGCCTCATTTGTGTCCATTCAACATAGTTTTGCATTTTGAAACTTTGTGGACATTTTCTCTGAATATTTTTGATTTACACTTGGTTCAATAAACACCTGTAAACCCCACAGATATGGAGGAGCGACTGTATATTTATAGTATGAAATATGATGTGTTGATATGTGTCCCCGTGGAGATGAGACTAGCAAGGCTTATGACTCTACAAATGTTTCATCGTGGAATGACTCTGCCAGCTTTCCAGGTTGCAGAGAGTAAGAATATCACTTGTTCATGTGATTCACGATCCTTGGAACCTCCTATGTGCTGCATCTTTGGATGGAAATTGGAGTCCCAGAGACAAATGAGGCTCCACCCTGCTTCCAGAAGCTCAGAGTCCAGGGGTGAGAACCTAGCGGAGAACAGATGGGGTTATGTGGACATGGTAATGATAACAGCGGTTTCTTTCAGCGAATACAGTGTCACATTACCTGAAGCAATGAGGGCAGACATGTTTATTTGAAGAGGAGACAGCTACATTGAAATCACAAAAAATTTTATAAGTTTCACTGCTGACAGAAGGCTGGAAAATAGTCCGAAGAAAGGTGAAACAGCATGAGGGAAGGTGGAACAGCACGTGGGTAAGTGCCACGTCAAGAGGGAGCCTCTTGTATGTTTGGAATTGTGAGTTCCTCAGTGTGATCGCAGCCTCAAGTAGACTAGGAAGTAAGCCAGTTAGGTTGGAGAGGTGGGCAGGGGTCAAGTGAAATGGAGAACTGTGGGCTAAGCAAAGGAGTGTGTTTTCTTTCCAGCAGGCAGTGGGGACCTAGACATTTGTAAGCAAGAGAGAGGCCAGATTTGTGGCGTGAGGAGGAGCGATGCCCTAAGATGAAGACTCAGGCCTTCAGATTCCAGCTGCTGGTACATGGGAGCTGGCAACTCGGTTTTGAGACAGGGCTGTTGTCTCCCTAGAAGACGCCCTCAAGGCCTGACTGTGGTGCTCATGGGCAGGAGACAACTTTGGATCTGGGCTTAGCATTTGGAAGTTCCGTGTACAAGATGGTATCTGTAGGGGGTGTCTTGGGCCTCTGAGAAGGGCGAGTGATTTTTCTCTGTGTGAAAACGCAGTGATCCAACTGTGCGTATGTCACCTCCTGAGGGTCTTGTTCATCAGAGTCCTGGAGAGAGGGAAATGCTGAGTGAGGGAGGGAAATGCTGAGTGAGGGAGGGTGCTCACGTTTTCCAGGACTGTTTGGGAATAACACTAGCCACGAGGCTGGGCCGAGGAGCACCTACCTCGCTGTTGGCTGTTCTGTTCCCTGCAGGCTCTTGGTCCATTACAGCAGCATCTGTAGGAGACGGAAGTCAACAAAAGAGCTCGGAGGGCACTTCTGGGTCCTCATTTCATAAGCAGATACCAACAAACAGGGGGAGGCCATAGGTGCCTGAGGTCCCTCAGTTGCCAACAGCAGACTCAGACATTCTATCTCTCTGAGCTCAAGGACCCATCCCATGAATAGCTCTGAGTTCCCATCCCATTGATTCTATCTCCCACTTTCTGCCTGTCATGGAACCTTCTCCTGGATGTGAGTGGCTGCGGGGGACATGAGGATACAGTTCAGAATCAGGCAACGGTCTGTGAGCTGAAGGCAGGGGCAGGGAGTCTGGTGCTCTCTCTAGAAAGTCCTGCCTCTGTGGCTGCTGCCTTGGGCCAGGGACCATCCTGCCAGTGAGGAACACACAGCTGTGTGCTCCCATCCTGCTTCCCCACATGGCCCTGAGCTCTCTGGCCTGTGCCGCGTGAGACTTACTTTTTTTGTTGGAGTACCAGAGATGAAGGAGAAAGAAGAGGAGGAGGATGAAGAGGATGATGACCACTGAGGTCCCAATGAGAACATGCAGGTGTCTGGGGTTACCTGGAAGAAGAGGAGACACCAGTAAGAAGCTAATCATAGCAGATTCTCTATATGAATTGTCTTGCATTTCTTGATTGACAGGTAACCACTTACAGCATCTCTTTCGGACAAGCACCCAGATGGCGGGAGACCTAGCTTCCTCCTGCTTTCTCAGTTATAGCTCTCATAGTAAGCATGGAACGTGCTGAGGATACAACTACTTTAGTTGAGATGTTTGACCCCTTCAAACCTCACATTGAAATTTAACCCCCAGTGTGGGAGGTTGGGCCTCTTGGGAGGTGTTTGGGTCATGGAGGTGGATCCATCATGAACAGATCAATGCTGTCCCAAGGAGACGGGGTTAGCAAGTTCCCTCTCTATTAGTTCCTGGAGAGCTGGTTGTTAAAAAGAGCTTGGAAGCTCCATTGCTCCCCCTCCCCCTTGCTCCCTCTCTTGCCGTGTGATCTCTGTGGTCTCTGCACAGACAGACTCTCCTTCCCTTCTGCCAGAGTGGGAGCGGCCTGAGGCCATCATAAGAAATAGATGCTGGTGCCATGCTTCCAGTACAGCCTGCAGAATGGTGAGGCAAACCAATCTCTTCTTTAGAAGTTACCCAGGCTCAAGTGTTCCTTTAGAGCAACAAAAATGGACTAAGACAGCAAAGTCCTGAGATCAGGAGGATCGTCCCAGAACAGCCTGGGCTGTCTTCCTGTTCTTCCTGGAGGAGGACGTCATGCAGTGCTTTAGCTGAGTGCTTCCTGTGGCTCCAGGGTACAAAACCCAGGCTGGGCTGCTTTCTGGCTTCCCCCAGCTACACTGCAAATGGGGTGACTCCACATGTCTCGAGCAGCTTTTCTGAGCCTTGGGGAACTGGCTCACATTGAAATGTAGGCTTCTGTTGTCACTCGCTGCTTATCTGTTAGTAATGAACCTGCCTATGTAACGTATTCTCTGTGTGTTCTGTCTCCCTGGAGTGACGGTGAGTGATAGGAATTGGCATAGGCCCAGGTGCAGTCCAGGAGGTGTTTAGAGTCTTCTCTGGGAAGACTGGACTGGGATTGATACACAGCGAATGTGCTTTAGGATTTCTACATCCACGGCATTCTTGAGTTAAACAACTTGCATTCTCCAAGAAAAGGAAACAAAAGTGAAATCAATATAAAAAAAGCGAAGTAGAATTCTCTTATGTCAAACAGCCAGAAAATAGTGTTGAAGCCCGTGTGAAATGTGCTACTCTTTGTGATCTCGGGAGACACATGTTAGGCTGCTGTTCTACCTGAGAGGCTGGGGGAAGGACCACCCCCTCGACTATCTATTGCTTCAATACCACCTGTCCTCCTGTGAATTAGTAGGAAAGGGGAGCAGGAGCTAGTGCTGGGACAGATCTCTGATTCCAAGATCTGGACTCACTCCAAGGAGTATGAGCATTTACCTCCCCATGATCTATCTGTATCTCCACAGGTGATTGGAAGTAGGGGTGAGGTGGGGGATTTGGGTGAGGGGGCAAGTTTTTTTTGTGATGACCAGAGCACTTTCTCTATTCCAGGATTTGTGCTGGAGGATTCAGCGGGCTTTCACATTTTCTATATGATCTCATGCTCACAGAAAGCCAAATACGGAAGAGGTTTTAGGCTGATTGCCTAATGGATAAGATAAAGGATCAAAGAAGTAATTATAGAGAAATAGAAAAATGATGATGGGAATTCAGGTGCCTTTGTCATTCGTGTGTGTTTTATTATATTTATGCATTTCTTATTTTTATTTTTTGAGATGGAGTCTCCTTGTGTCACCCAGGCTGGAGTGCAGTGATGCGATCTCCACTCACTGCAACCTCCACCTCCTGGGTTGAAGTCATTCTCCTGCTTCATCCTCCAGAGCAGGAGCTGGGATTACAGGGATGCACCACCATGCTCGGCTAATTTTTGTATTTTTAGGAGAGATAGGGTTTCACCATGTAGAGATAGGGTTTCACCATGTTGGCCAGGCTGGTCTCGAACTCCTGATTTCTTGGAATCCACTGGCCTTAGCCTCCTGCAGTGCTGGGTTACAGGAGTGAGCCACCGTTCACAGACTTGTATATTATGCTATAATAGGTCCCTTCATTTCCACCACCCCTCATATATCTGTCACTCCTTTGCCAGGTATTGATTTATGTGTAGGAGGAATAAATCTCAGAAAGAAATTAATTTAGCAAGGATTAAACAACTAGGAAACTCAAACCCAGCAAGCCCTCCCTGCAAATGATTCTACCTCCCAAACATAGCTTATATCCATCTGCTTCATCCACTTAGGGTCTAAATCAGCACCACATTTCACCAGTGGGGCGGCAATTGCCTTTTCCACGGTCTCCTAGATTCCAGTTACGCACCTGGGCCTCCCTTATTTTCATGTCAGTCATATTAATCATGTAGGGATTCCTGGTTACCCCGAGGTGAATCCAATGGCTGTGAGTGTCAAACACACACTCCTTGTTGCTCCTTAGTTTCCTGTGTACCCAGTGTGCTCTCCGTCTCTCCACAGTCGTCTTGTCATTCTCCCCACTTCATTCCCAGCATTTGAGTCAGAGCCTCTTCCTTCAACATCAGATTGTTTTCACCTTTGTGCCTTCACAGCTGACAGCTGTGTGGAAAATCCTTCCGCCAATCTTTCAGGGGTTCAATCCGTGTTTTTCATTAATGTCACAAATATCTGATTAGTGAGACCTTCTCTGTCACCCAAAATTATACACTCAGCATTATCTATTATTTATTTTGAATTCTGGCTGGGCAAAGTGGCTCACGCCTGTAATCCCAGTACTTTGGGTTGCTGAGATGGTCGGATCACTTGAGGTTGGGAGTTTCAGACAAGCTTGGCCAATATGGTGAAACATCCTCTCTACAAAAAATATACAAAAAGAATTAGCCGGGCATGGTGGCAGTTGCCTGTAATCCCAGCTACTCGAGAGGGTGAGGCAGGAGAATCACTTGGATCCAGGAGACGCAGGTTGCAGTGAGCCAAGATCGTGACACTGCACTGTAGCCTGGAAGACAGAGGGAGACTCTGTCTCAATAAATAAATGAACGAACAAACAAATAGATTTCATACACAGATGCTTCCCAATGGATCATTCATTTATTGGTCCACTTGTGCATTCATTTTCTGCCCTCCCATTTAACCATCTGCAATATCAGTGTCCCAAGAGCAGAGGCCAAATGCATCTTGTTCACCGTTCGTGGAAGGCAGGAGAATGCTGTCCCACCCCAAAATGTCCCTGTCCTGGCCTCCATAGCTTGTGAATATGTTATTTTACATGGAAAGAAGGAATGAAGATTGCAGATGGAATTACGGTTGCTAGTCAGCTGAACTTAAAACAAGGGTATCCTGAATGATTTCCAGGAGATTATGATGGATTTTCATCTTGGTGAACCCAATAGAATCCCCAAGTTTTCAAAAGATAAGGAAGAAGGGAGAGCAGCATTCAGAGAAAGAGGTGTGGTAAGGAAGAAGGGTCTGAGTGATGCCATGTGAGATGTGACCAGCCTTTGTGGGCTTTGAGGAAGGAGGAAGGGGACCAGGAGCCAAGGAACTGGGAGCCTTTATAAGATGGGACAAGTGAGAAGCAGATTCTTGCCTGGAATCCTCAGGCAAGGGAAGGCAGCCTTGCTGTCACCTTGTTTTTAGCCCAGTGAGATGCACTTCATACTTTGAGCTACAGCACTGTAAGATAATTAAAAAGCCGCTTTGTTTTCACCCACGAATCTTGTGGAAATTTGTTATGGCAACAATAGGAAAGGATTCCAACTGCACAGCCTGAGCATGGGGCTGTGGCTGAATGAGTCAGTGAGTCGAAGTGTGCGTGCATGAGCTCTGTTCTCTATTACGGCAAGGCTGTTGCTCTGCTGAGTCAGCCAGGGTTGCTTCATGACCAACAGTAATTCATTCCTTGGCAAGTGGAACTTCTCTAAAACACCTCGCCCTCATCAGATGTTCCCTTCCCTTCCCTCTCTCAAGTCCCCAGGAATTTATCCTCCAGTTAGGAATGCAGGAAGAAAAAACACTGCATGTTTCCTGAGAAGGATGTCAGATTGGCAATCATTCTTCTAGCTTGTAGGAGGTCTCACCTGCAGGACATTAAAGGTTAAGAGACTTCGCTGAGCCCTTTGGTGGCCCTAGATCCCTTTCACTGTTGGAGTGTCTGGAGTTCAGAGATGGTGAAAGACAGGCCCTCATTCACAGAGCTGGGAGGTTTGAGCCAACACTTGCATCCAAGGCTTCCACCTCCCCAGGTTTCCAAAAGCAGAGATAAGAGGGGTCCTTTACTCACCAGATTTGGAGCTTGGTTCTGTGGGTGAAGGCCAACTACTTGAAGGGTTTCCTAGAACACGGGACAGGAGAGATGTGAGGAAATGAGGGTGCTTGTCCTCTACTCAATGGAAATCTTTGAGGTTGGTTCATGGCCAACACTCTGTTATCTAATGTTGGACCCTGGGAGTCTTGGGATCCTCTTCTCCATAATTTTTGTGTGCGATGCCCACTGTCTTGAGACTTGAAGGTATAAAGAGAAAACAGGAGCATCACACTACCTGACTTAGAAATATGTTACAGAGCTGTAGTAAGCAAAACAGCATGACATTGGCATAAAGAAAGGCACATAAAAAATGGAACAGAATGGAGAACACAGATATAATCCATGCATTTACATCCAATGGCTTTTTTTTTGTGTGTGTGTGATAGAATCTTGCTCTGTCATGCAGGCTGGAGTGCAGAGGTGCAATCTCAGCTCAATGCAACCTCCACTTCCTGGATTCAAGCAATTCTCTTGCCTCAAACACCCGAGTAGTGGTATTACAGGCACTGGTCACCATGCTCAGCTAATTTTTGTATTTTTAGTAGAGACGAGGTTTCACTCTGTTGGCCAGCCTGGTCTTGAACTCCTGGCTTCAGGTGATCCATCCGCCTCGGCCTCCCAAAGTGCTGGAATTGCAGGTGTGAGCCACCATACCCAGCCCATTTAATGGACTTTGACAAAGGTGCCGAGAACTTACAATCAGGAAAGGACAGTCTTTTCAATAAATGGTGTGGGGAAAACTGGATATCTACATGCAGAGGAATAAAACTGCATCTATACCTGTCACCTTACACAAAAATCAAATGAAAATGGATTAAAAACATGAGTCTAAGGCCTGAACCTATGAAACATGTAGAAGAAAATAATGGGGAAGACATTTGTCTGACGAAAGACATTTTGTTTAAAACCTTCAAAACACAAGTAATCAAAGCAAAAAATAGACCATTAGGATTACATCAAACCAAGCAACTTCTGCACCACAAAAGATAAACCAAGAAAGTGAAGAGACAACCGACAAAATAGGAGCAAATATTTGCAAACTATTCATCTGAGACGGGATTAATAACTGGAAATATAAGAAGCTCAAACAACTCAATAAAACAATTTAATTCAAAAAAAGAGCAAAAGACATGAGGAGACATTTCTCCACAAACAAAACATAGAAATGGCGATCACGTATATGAAAAAGTACTCGGCATCACTCATCATCAGAGAAATGTAAATTACAATCGCGATGAGTTTTCATCTCATCCCATTAAAATGCCTTTTAGGCCGGTGGCTCACGCCTGTAATTCCGGCACTTCAGGAGGCGGAGGTGGGCGGATCACCTGAGGTCGGGAGACCAGCCTGACCATCATGGAGAAACTCCCTCTCTACTAAACATACAAAAATTAGCTAGGCGTGGTGGCACATGCCTGTAATCCCAGCTACTTTGGAGGCTGAGGCAGGAGAATCAGTTGAACGCGGGAGGCGGAGGTTGCAGTGAGCTGAGATCACACCCTTGCACTCCAGCCTGGGCGACTATGAGTGAAACTCCATCTCAACATAAATAAATAAATAAAATGAAGTAAAGTAAAATGGCTTTTACTGCAAGACAGGCAAAACAAATGCTGGCAAGATGGTAGAGAAAGGAGAACCCTGGTACCCTGTTGGTAGGAATGTAAATTAGTACAACTATTATGGAGAAAAGTATGGAAATTCTTTAAAAAACTAAAAGGAGGCTGGGCATAGTGGCTTATGCCTGTAACTTCAGCACTTTGGGAAACCGAGGCAGGCACCTCACTTGAGGTCAGGAGTTTGAGAGCAGCCTGCCCAAAATTGGGATATCCCGTCTGTGCTAAAAAAATACAAAAATTAGCCAGGCATGGTGGCGTGCACCTGTAATCACAGCTACTAGGGAGGCTGAGTCAGGACAATCATTTGAACCTAGGAGGCACAGGTTGCAATGAGCCAAGATCTCACCACTTAGACTCCAGCTTGGACTAAGGAGGGAAACTCTTTCTCAAAAAAGGAAAAAAAAAAAAAGAGAACTTTCATAGTGTCCAGCAATTTCACTACTGGGTTTATATCCAAAGGAAAGGACATCAGTGTATCGAAGTGATATCTGCACTCATATGACTGTTCCAGCACTGTTCACAGTAGCCAAGATGTGGAGTCAACCTACCTGCCTATCAGTGGGTGAATGGATAGAGAACTGTAGTACACACACACAGTGGAGACTACTCATCCATAGAAACAATAACATCCTGTCATTTGCAGCCACATGGATGGAACTGGAGGTCATTACAAAGATTCCCATTTCTCACCACATGAAGGAGATAAAAGGTGGATCTCATGAAGGTGGAGAATACAATGGTGGACACCAGAGGCCAGGAAGGGAAGGGTGGAGGGTAACAAAAAAAAGAATATAGATGTATTTATTTATTTAGAAACAGAGTCTCTCTCTGTCTCCCAGGCTGCAGTGCAGTGGCATGATCTCGGCTCAGTGCAACCTCTGCCTCCTGGCTTTAAGTGCTTCTCCTGCCTCAGCCTCCCAAGTAGCTAGGACTACAGGTGCATGCCGGCATGCTCGGCTAATTTTTCTTGTCTGTTTAGTAAAGATGAATTTCCCACATGTTGGCCAGGGTGATCTCGAGTTCCTGATCTTAAATGATCCACCTTCCTTGGCCTCTCAAAGCGCCGAGATTACAACCGTGAACCACCACACCCAGCATATAAAGGTATTTATGACCACTAGATTTTACTTTTAAAAATGGTAAAGTTGGTAAATTATATAGTTACATTTAACCTCAATAAATATTTTTGAAAATGAAAAGAAAAGGGTGTAGGGGTTGCTGGTGATGACATCTCTCTGTGTGGGTGAGAGGCCATGATGGGCTTCTGGGAAATGGATAAGATTGAGGGGCTGAGGGAACCTCTGATCTCCCCAAACTAAGCCCAGTCTCCCCTTCTCTGGGTCTGTCCTGACCGCTTTCTCCATCTGCCTGGGTGCCTGGAGCCCTGATCGGAGGCCTCCATGCAGGCCATGAAGGAGGGTTTGGAGGTGCCCTGTCTGCCATCCTGCGCCCTGACTCCGCCCTCACACCTGCTGTGTCTTCTCTCTGCATCTGTCCATGCTTTTCTCCATCATCAGCAGGAAGCTCCTTAGCTAAGGATTTAGGATCATAGGACATGAGAGAGATATGGGCTTTTCTCACCTGTGACAGAAACAAGCAGTGGGTCACTCGGGTCTGACAACTCGTAGGGAGAGTGACGGAAAGAGCCAAAGCATCTGTAGGTCCCTCCGTGGGTGGCAGGGCCCAGAGGGAAATCTGCCTGGAATGTTCTGTTGACCTTGCGCACTGCAGGGAGCCTACGTTCATGGGCTCCCCCCTCCCTGGATAGATGGTACATGTCATAGGAGCTCCGGGAGCTACAGGACAAGGTCACGCTCTCTCCTGCCTGAACCTTGGGGCCCGGCTGGGCTGAGAGAGAAGGTTTCTCATATGGACCTGGAAGGAGAAGAGGCAGTTTCCTCAGGGAGGTTCTTCCTTGTCATAGCTCCCCTCATACCTGAGCTGAGAACTCACTCCCCTGCTCTATGACCTAATGCTCTCTCTCTCTCTCTCACCCTCCACCCCATCTCTCTTCATATCTGTTTCCTCCTTCTACCTTTTCTGTCTCTCTAGGTCTATGACCTCAATTCCCCACCCTGAGGTATGTTTTCCCTTTTTGGATTGTTTTATTCTCTCTGACCCTCCTTGGATTGGTTGACTTGATCTTCCTTTTTCTTTAATTTTGAGTCTCTCACTTTCTGTCTTGTTCATAACTTTCTGCACATTTCTATCTATTTATCTATTTTGTGTCTATCTACAAATTATCTATCATCTATATTTATGTATCACTTATCTATCTCTCTATCAATTGTCTATCTGTCTATCTATCCATCAATCATCTATTATCTATATATGTATCATCTATCTCTCTCTCTATTACCTCTCTGTCTGCCTCTCTGTCTCTATTTATGTATCATCTATGTATATATCTACGTGTCTATCATCATCATCGTCATCTCTATGTATCATCTATCAGTCATCATCTATGTATCTATAACCAATCCATTATCTATCATCTACCTATTTATCATCTATCTACGTCTATCTATCCATCTATCATCTCTCTCTCTCCGTCTCCTTGTCTTTCTCTGCCTCTCAGTCTCTCTAGTTCTATTTGGAATCTCTGCAATCCATCCCCACATATTTATCTTTCTCTGTCTTTGTGTCCCTCCCTCAGGGTTCTGATTTTGGGGCTTTTCTCTCCTCCTTTCCATCATTCTCTCCACTCTGCCCTCTTTTCTTTCTTTTTATGTGTCTGTGAATCTCTTAATCTCCTTCTTCTGGCTCATTTTGTGTGTGTTTATGTCTTTGCTTTTTGGTGTCCCTGATTTTTCTCTGTGTCTCTCAGCGATCCTATCATATGTGGGATTATTTGGAATATGAGCCTCAGAATCCAGTCTGGGGACCCCAAGTTCACACAGCATACAGGGGTTGGTGTTCAGGGGCCATGATATCCTGGGATGATTACTCTCCATTGCATGGAAGGCAGAGGTGTCAGAATAAACACGGCATCTGTAGGTGGCACAAGGCCTGAGGCCACAGGGCCCAACTCAGGTCAGAAATATGGGTGTCCTTGGGTTCTTCTGGTAGGAACACTTTGTGGAGGTAAAACAGAAATGAAACTTCTAACCTGTGCCAGGTCTCTGAGCAAAGTCAGCATGGAAGGACACCTCTCTCTGGGACATGTCTGTCTGTCTGAGTGTCTCCTTTACCTCTTTCTCTCTTTTCTACCTCCCTGTATGGCCCCTGTGTCTGTCCTCTGTTATGACACCTGTTCTGTACTTATGTCTGCTGTTTCTCTGTCTCTGTTGGTACAGACCTCACCAAGTCACTCTCTTTCCGTAAGAATCCCACACTTATCTTCCTCATGACCACCTGGGGGTTCCAAGTCCTGGATCATTCACTCTGTGTCCCAGTGACAATGAGAACAATGTCTAGACACTCTCACCTGTGACCACGATGTCCAGGGGATCACTGGGAGCTGACAACTGATAGGAGGTGTGAGTAACAGAACCGTAGCATCTGTAGGTCCCTGCAAGGGCAAGCATCATGGGACCGATGGAGAAATTGGCCTTGGAGACCCCATCATGGATCTGTCCAACGAGGCGTGAGGGGTCCTTAGAGATCCCCTCTTTGTGCAGAAAGAAGTGCTCAAACATGATATCTGACCAACATTGCAGGATGACTCTCTCTCCTGATTTCACCAGGGGACCTGGGTGGGCCAGGAGGGAAGGTTTTCTGTGGTTTCCTAGAAAGAGAAGTTGTGAGTTTAGAAGGCATCTCTCTTTATCATCCCATCCATGGCACCTGGAATGAGTGAGGGTTCCCCTCCCCGTGTCTGTCTCTCTCCTCCCTCTCTGCATCTCCGTGTCTTTTCTGTGCCCATATCCCCTGGTGCAGGTGCCTCCATCTGTCTTCCTCCCTCTTCTCTGTCCCTCTGTCTCCAGTAGCCCCTGACTCCCTTGCCACTGTGAAGACAGCCTCATCTCTTGGGCTGTTGTATCTGTTTCCCACTAATCTCTTTCCTGCTGTCTATGTGGGGGTGGAAGAGGACAGGCTGCATGTCCAGGCTCTCAGCAGCCTGAATCAATCTCTTTTGAACAAATCCCCAGTTCAAGTGATTCTCTTGCCTCAGCCTCCCCAGTCGTTGGATTACTCGCGCCCACCACCACATCTGGCTATCCTTGTTTGGTTTCCTAACTTGTCCTTGACCTGGGTTCCTGTGTTGGTTTCCTGTTGCTGCTGCAGAAAATTACCACAAACATGGCAGCGGGAGAGAACACACTGACCCCTTCCACTTCTGGAGACAGAAATTGGATCCAGTTCTCCCTGTGCTGAAATCAAGGTGTCTACAGGGCTGCGTTCCCTCTGGAGAATCAGCGAATCAGTTCTCTTGACTTCTCCAGCCCTTAGAGGCCACCTGCATTCTGTGACTAGTGGTCTTTCTCCACCTTCAAAGCCCGCAGTGGCTGATAGCGTCTCCCTCCCACTACACTGCTCTAATCCCCACTCCCCTCTTCCTCCACCTCTCATGTGGACCCTTGTGATTACACTGAGCCCAGTGGGACAGTCCAGGCTGTCTCCCCATCTCAAGGTCAACTCATCAACAACCTGAGCTCCACCTTCCCCTTCAGTCCCCTGCCCTGTAACATAAATAGTCACAGGCTCCAGGGATTACAATGTAGCCATCATTGGGGACAGTGATTCTTCCCACCACAGCACCCATTTCCCCTGTATTCAATCTCCCTTGACCCCAAATACAGTCAGGGCCTGGGTGATGGGACCCTGACGGACACCCCCACCAGAAGCTCTGGGATTCAGGAGGTGGGACAGTGAGAAGCCCAGACGGAAAGCCTCTGACCTGTGACCATGATCACCACGGGGTTGCTGGGTGCCGACCACCCAGTGGGGGAGTGTGGGTGTGAACCCCGACATGTGTAGTTCCCTGCATGTGCTGTGGTCACAGGGCTCATGTTGAAGCTCTCCTGGAATATTCTGCCATGGAAGATGGGAATGTGGATTCCGTCTTCTTTGTATAGCATGAAATTGTTAAACCTATGATGATAGTGACACCGAAGAGTCACGTGTCCTCCTCGAGGCACCACAGCGCTGGGCCAGGCAGACAGGAAGGGTTTGTCCTGACCACCTGGGGGAGAAGGAGGCACTGCCTTAGAGAGGAGGATGTGGAGCCGCCCCTCACTCCCAGTGCCCAGAAGATTCTCCCCATTTCCACTTTCTAAGGCTCCTACCACACCTGGGTGCCCAGGGCTACAGGAAGGACCCATCCTGCATAGACTTGGCGTCTCCCTACAACAAGTGTCAGCTGAGAACTTTGAGCAAGTTGCTGGAGAAGCAACTCTTACTAGATTTTAATACTGCAAAATTACTCATATAAAACAACACAAAGTAGACACGGCATGGAGGGCAAGTCCTATGTGAATGGAATATCAGCCAATTGATGAACTGAGCCCCCATCAGAGGATTTGGAATGTCAGGGCCATGGCTGTGGTTTCCTCACCTTTTCTGGTAGAAAGACCGCAGCCACACTGCAGCCCCTACCATCACGGAAACGCTGGAGGGTGTGAGTTACACCTTTGTCCTCAGAGGACCTGCTGTTCCTAGCACTGCTTCCCTCTCTTTCTCTGCTGCTGACACCACTTCCTCCCTGCACACCCATCTTGGAGCACCCTAGTCTCACCCCAGTCTTCACAGAGCTTGACTCAGGAAAGGGAATGAAAGGCCGGGGAAGGCAAGGTCAGAAATGTGGGCCGAGCATCCGAGGGTCCCCTCTTCCTAGTGTATGAGAGACTCCCCGACAGGACTTCCCTCCCATTTCAGGAAAATCCTCTTATGTGGGGAGATGACACCCTAAGGTTTGGGGAAGGACTCACCCATGTGTGGACCGGCCCTCTGGACCAAGAACAACCCTAGAAAGAAAGATCATGATGGACCATCCATCTGCAGGCAAACCAGGGCACCCTGCTGCCCCCACTGGGCTGTGCGTCTTGGCAGCCAGGCCCTTGCTGGGCTGAAGGTAAACTCACCCTCGCTGCCTACCTGCCCCCAGGAACAAGGATCTCGGCTGTGCAGAGACTGAGCCTCCAGGCCCAGATCTCTACCTCCAGGCCTAGATCTACACAACAGGCCCAGATCTCCACTCCAGGTCCGTATCTCCACTCCAGGCCCATATCTCCTCTCCAGGCTGGTAAGTCCACTCCAGGCCCATATCTCCACTCCAGGCTCCTATCTCAACTCCAGGCTCATATATCCACTCCAGGCTCATATCTCCACTCCAGGCCCATATTTCCACTCCAGGCTTCTATCTCCTCTCCAGGCCCATATCTCCTTTCCAGGCTTGTATGTCTGCTCCAGGCCCGTATCTCCACCCCAGGCCCATATCTCCACTCCAGGATCATATCTCCACTCCAGGCCCAGATCTCCACTTCATGCCCTTAACTCCACCTCCGGGCCCATAACTCCACCTCTAGGCCCATATCTCCACTCCAGGCCCATATCTCCACTTCAGGCCCATATCTCTACTGCAGGCCCCTAACTCCACCTCCAGGCCCATATCTCCACTCCAGGCCCATCGCTCCACTTCTAGGCCCATCACTCCACCTCTAGGCCCACATCTCCCCTCCAGGCCCATATCTCCCCTCCAGGCCCATCTCTCCACCCCAGGCACATATCTCCACCCCAGGCCCATATCTCCACTCCAGGCCCAGATCTCCACTCCAGGCACATATCTCCACCCCAGGCCCCTATCTCCACTCCAGGCCCAGATCTCCACTCCAGGCCCAGATCTCCACTCCAGGCCCAGATCTCCACTTCAGGCCCATAACTCCACCTCTAGGCCCATAACTCCACCTCTAGGCCCATATCTTTACCTCCAGGTCCAGATCTCCATCCCCGCACTCCCTCCCTCGATTCCCTTCCAGGACTCACCAACACACGCCATGCTGACGACCATGAGCGACATGGTGCTGCCGGTGCAGACAGGCGGCCGCGCCCCAGCTCAGCTCAGCAGCGCACAGGATGTTATTTGGCGCCCTGCCCATGCAGTTTACATGTTGACCACATCATGGGAGGGTGACGTACGCAGGCTCTTTCTACCTTGCATGAGGCCCAGTGGGTGCTCGCTCAAGAGCGGAACATGGCTTCCTGGAAATTGCTCTCACTAGAATTGACACCTCGCGTCCTTCACTATGACCAACTCAAAACACGTCTCAGATCCAACCTCCCGAACACGAGATGCCTAAAATCTGTGCTAACATGAAAGACTTTTCATGTATTTTTATTGTTTTTATCTGAGATTCAAACTCTTCTTCCTGTGTAATATGCAAAATATCTAATAGGTATTATTAAGGTTTTCAGAGCAATTGTGACAATAAACCATTAGAATTTTTCATGATTGTATTTCTAGTATTACAGCAGAACCAGTTCAAATGATTTAAACTCCCAGGGAAGGATTATGCAATTATTTACAATCTTAGAATTGTACTTTATCAGCAAAAATCACAACATGTAAATTCTGGATTTTTGTAGATTTATCTAGAATTTGTCTCATGTCCCAAGATTCCAGAGTTCCAACTCATGGTTTGCTCTCTCTCTGTCTCTCTGCCTCCCTCATTTTAATTTTTACAGAAATATCCAGTAACATAATGCTATAGAAAATCAATTTCCCCAGCACTTTGGAAGCCGAGGTGAGTGATCAACCGAGGTCAGGAGTTTGAGACCAGCCTGGCCAATATAGTGAAACCATGTCTCTGCTAAAAATACAAAAATTAGCCATGCCTGGTAGCAGGCACTTGTAATGCCAGCTATTCAAGAGGCTGAGGCACGGAATCCCTTGAACCTGGGAGGCGGAAGTTGCAGTGAGCCGAGATCGTGCCACTGCACTCCAGCCTGGGCAACAGAGCGAGACTCTGCCTCAAGAAAAATAAAAAAAGCATAGCAAATAGCCTATAATAAATAACTAGAGGACTCCAGCTACCAAATTTTAGGGGTTGTATAAGGCTGCATAAAATGCAGCATTCTCAAGAGAGTGGACAGAGAGAGAGCCACTGAGCAGAAAACAGTGTCTAAAATACATCCGTGTACACACAGTCCCTTTATAGTTGACAAAGGCTGCCATGTGGTTTAAGGTGGAATAGAATGTCTTCTCAATAAATAACATGGGCCCAAGGGTTACACATAGAGAAAAATATATCTAAACGTATTCTCACACTATAAAACACTTGTTTATTTTATCTTGTTATTGTAATTTTTTTATGTTTTATATTTAAAATTGAGAAATAAAAATTATATACAGTCATCCCTCACTATTCGTGGGTGATTGGTTTCAGGATCTCCACTCAGATAGCACAATCTGCAGACGCTCAAGCCTCTTACATGAAATGGCACAGCATTTGCAAATAACCCATGCACATCCTCCTGTGTACATGAAATCATCCCTTGATTATTTATAATTCCTGATACAGCCTACACACAGCTTCATTTGTGTCCATTCAACATAGTTTTGCTTTTTGAAACTTTGTGGATTTTTTCTCTGAATATTTTTGATTTATATTTGGTTCAATAAACACCTGTAAATCCCACAGATACAGAGGACCGACTGTATATTTATAGTATGAAAGATGATGTGTTGATATGTGTCCCCGTGGAGATGAGACTAACAAGGCCTATGACTCTACAAATGTTTCATCATGGAATGACTCTGCCAGCTTTCCAGGTCTGCAGAGAGTAAGAATATCACTTGTTCATGTGATTCACGATCCTTGGAACCTCTTATGTGCTGCATCTTTGGATGGAAATTGGAGTCTCAGAGACAAATCAGGCTCCACCCTGCTTCCAGAAGCTCCGAGTCCAGGGGTGAGAACCCAGTGGAGAACAGTTGGAGTTATTTGGACATGGTAATGATAACACTGGAAACTTTCAGCCAAAAAAAGAGTCACCTAAAGAATGAAGGCAGACATGTTTATTTGAAGAGGAGAGAACTACACTGAAATCAAAAAAATTTTATAAGGTTTGCTGATGCCAGAAGGCTGAAAAATAGTCTGAGGAAAGGTGGAACAGCACGAGGGAAGGTGGAACAGCACGTGTCTAAGTGCCGTGTTAAGAGAGAGCCTCTTGTATGTTTGGAATTGTGAGTTCCTCAGTGTGATTGCAGCCTCAAGTAGACTAGGAAGTAAGCCAGTTAGGTTGGAGAGGTGGGCAGGGGTCAAGTGAAATAGAGAATTGTGGGCTAAGCAAAGGAGTGTGTTTTCTCTGCAGCAGGCAGTGGGGACCTTAGACATTGGTAAGCAAGAGACAGGCACCAGATTTGTGGTGTGAGGAAGAGTGATGCTCTAAGATGGAGACTCACGCCTTCAGATTCCAGCTGCTGGTACATTAGAGCTGGCAAGCTGGGTTTGAGACAGGGCTGTTGTCTCCCTAGAAGATCCCATCAAGGCCTGACTGTGGTGCTCATGGGCAGGAGACAACGCTCTGGGCTCAGCATTTGGAAGTTCTATACACACGCTGGTATCTGTTGAGGGTCTCTTGCTCCTCTGAGAAGGGCCAGTGATTTTTCTCTGTGTGAAAATGCAGTGATCCAACTGTGCGTATGTCACCTCCTGAGGGTCTTGTTCATCAGAGTCCTGGAGAGAGGGAAATCCTGAGTGAGGGAGGGTGTTCACATTTTTCAGGACTATTTCGGAATAAGACTGTATCCATGAGGCTGGGCTAGGAGGACCTACCTCCCTGTTCACTGTTCTGTGTCCCGCAGGCTCTTGGTTCATTACAGCAGCATCTGTAGGAGACGGAAGCAATCAAAACAGCTGGGAGGGCACTTCTGGGTCCTCATTTCATGAACAGATACCAACACACAGGGGGAGGCCATAGGTGTCTGAGGTCCCTCAGCTGCCAACAGCCAGACTCAGACATTCCATCTCTCTGAGTGCAAGACCCCATTCCATGAATAGCTGTCAGTTCCCATCCCATTGATTCTATCTCCCACTTTCTGCCTGTCATGGAATCTTCTCCTGGATGTGAGTGGCTGCAGGGGACGTGAGGATACAGTTCACAATCAGGCAACGGTCTGTGAGCTGAAGGCAGGGGCAGGGTGTCTGGTGCTCTCTCTAGAAAGCTCTGCCTCTGGCTCCTGCCTTGGGCCAGAGACTTTCCTGCCAGTGAGGAACACACACCTGCGTGCTCCCATCCTGCTTCCGCACAGGGCCCTGAGTTCTCTGGCCTCTGCTTCGTGAGGCTTACTTTTTTTTTGGAGCACCAGCGATGAAGGAGAAAGAAGGGAAGGATGGTAAAGAGGATGATGGCCACTGAGTACCTAATCACAGCATGCAGGTGTCTGGCGATACCTGGAGGAAGATGGGAATCCAATAAGAAGCTAACCATAGCAGTTCCTCTTTGTGGATTGTCTCTCATTTCTTGGTTGCCAGGCAACCACATAAAACACCTCTTTAAGACAAGCACCCACGAGGCGGGAGACCCAGCTTTCTCCTGCTTTCTCCGTTATAGTTTTCATAATAACAATAGAATGTGCTGATGATACAACTGCTATTGTTTCAATGTTTGACCCCTCCAAACCCCACTTTGAAATTTAATCCCCAGTGTGGGAGGTTGTGCCTATTGGGAGGGGTGTTTTGGTCATGGGGGTGGATCCATCATGAATAGATTAATGCTGTCCCCAGAGGACGGGGTTAGCAAGTTCTCCCTCTATTAGTACCCTGGAGAGTTGATTCTTAAAAAGAGCTTGGAAGCTCCATCACACCCCCTTTCTCCCTCTCTTGCCATGTGATCTCTGTGGTCTCTGCACACGCAGGACCCCCTTCTCTTCTGTCAGTGTGGGAGCAGCCTGAGGCCGCAGCCAGAAATAGATGGTAGTGTCCTGCTTCTAGTACAGCGTGCAGATCAGTGAGCCAAACACATCTCTTTTCTTTAGAAGATACCCAGGCTCAAGTGTTCTTTTATAGCAACAAAAATAGGCTAAGACAGCAACATCCTGAGATCAGGAGGAACGTCTCAGAACAGCCTGGGCTGTCTTCCTGTTCTTCCTGGAGGAGAACATCATGCAGTGCTTTAGCTGAGTGTTCCCTGTGGCTCCAGGGTACAAAACCCAGGCTGGGCTGCTTTCTGGCTTCCCCCAGCTACAGTGCACATGAAGTGACTCCATGTGTCCTGAGCAGTTTTTCTGAGCCTTGAGGGACTGGCTCACCCTGAAAGGAAGGTTTCTGTTGTCACTCGCTGCTTATCTATAAGTAATGAACCTGCCTATGTAATGTATTCCCTGTGTGTTCTGTCTCCCTGGAGTGATGGTGAGTGATAGAAATTGGCACAGCCCCCAGGTGCAGTATGGGAGGTGTTTAGAGTCTTCTCTGGGAAGACTGGACTGGGATTGATACACAGTGAATGTGCTTTACAGTTTCTACATCCACAACCCTCTTGACTCAAACAAATTACATTCTCCAAGAAAAGGAAAAAACAGTGACATTGAAATCAACATAAGTGAGGTTGAGCTGTCTTATATCAAACAGCCAGGAAATAATGATGAAGCTCGTGGGCAACATGCTACTTTTGTCATCTTGGGAGTCAGATATTAGGCTGCTGTTCCACCCGAGAGTCTGGGGGAAAGACCACCCCCTCCATCATCTGTTGCTTCAATACAGCCTGTCTTTCTGTGAATTACTCCAAAAGGTGACCAGGAGATAGTGCTGGCACTGGTCTCTGAGTCTACGATCTGAACTCCAAAGAATATTAGTTTTTACCTCCCCATGATCTATCTGTATCATTAATGTGATTGGAAGTAGGGGTGAGGTGGGGGATTTGGGTGAAGGGGCAAGTTTTGTGCCATGAACAGATCACGTTCTCTATTCCAGGACCTGTGCTGGTGGGTTTCACATTTTCCATATGATCTCATGCTCACAGAAAGCCAAATAAGGAAGATGTTTTCGCCTGATTTTCTTACGGATAGGATAAAGGATCAAAGAAGTCATTATAGAGAAATAGAAAAATGATGATTGGAATTGGTGTGCCTTTGTCATTCGTGTATGTTATATTATATTTATGTATTCTTTATTTTTATTTTTTGCCATGGAGTCTCACTCTGTCACCTAGGGTGCAGTGCAATGACGCGATCTTGGCTCACTGTAACCTCTCCCTCCCTGGTTGAAGCCATTCTCCTTCTTCAACTTCCCGAATAGCTGGTATTACAGGCATGCGCCACCACCCCCAGCTAGTTTTTGTATATTTAGTAGAGATGGGGTTTCACCATGTTGTCCAGGCTGATCTCGAACTCCTGATCTCACTTGATCCAGCCTCCTCAGCCTCCCAAAATGTTGGGTTACAGGTGTGAGCCACCGTTCAGAACCTTGTGTGTTATATTATAATAGGTCTCTTCCTTTGCACCACCCCTCATGTATCTCTCACTCCTCTGCCAAGTATTGATTTACATGTAGGAAAAATAAATCTCAGAAAGAAATCAATGAAGTGAAGATTAAACAATTAGGAAAAATCAAACCAGGCAAGCCCTCCCTGCAAATTACTCTACCTCACAAACACATCTTGTGTCCATCTTTCATTCATTTAGTGTCTAAATCAGCACCACATTTCACCAGGGGGGCGGGAATTGCCTTTTCCACAGTCTCCTAGATTCCAGTTATGCACCTGGGCCTCCCTTATTTTCATGTCAGTCACTATTCATCATGTAGGGATTCCCAGTTAGCCCCGAGGTAAGTCCAAGGGCTGTGAGTGTCAAACACACGCTCCTTGTTCCTCCTTAGTTTCCTGTGTACCCAGAGTGCTCTCTGTCTCTCCACAGTCGTCTTGTCATTCTCCCCACCTCATTCCCAGCATTTGAGGCAGAGCCTCTTCCTTCCACATAACATTGTTTTCACCTTTGTGCCTTCACGGCTGACAGCTGTGTGGAAAATCCTTCCGCCAATCTTCCAGGGGTTGATCTATTTTTTTCATTAAGGTCACAAGTATTATTTGATCAGTGAGAACTTCTCTGTCACCCGAAATTATACACTCAGCATTATCTATTATTTCTTTTAAAATACGGCTCGGCGCCTTGGCTCACGCCTCTAATCTCAGCACTTTGGGAGGCTGAGACGGGCGGATCCCTTAAGGTTGGGAGTTTGAGATAGCCTGGGCAACATGGTAAAACCTTGTCTGTACTAAAAAAAAATACCAAAAAAAAAATTAGCCAGGCGTGGTGGGACATGGGTGTAATCCCAGCCTCTCGGGAAGCTGAGTGTAGAGAATCGCTTTAACCTGGGAGGTGGAGGTTGCGGTGAGCCGAGATCCCGCCACTGCACTCCAGCCTGGGGCACAGAAGGAGACACCGTCTCATAAAAACACCAATCAATCAATCATTCTCATGCACAGATGCTTCCCAATGGATCATTCATTTATTGGTCCACTGGTGCATTCATTTTCTGCCCTCCCATTTAATCCTTTGCAATATCAGTGTCCAAGAGCAGAGGCCAAATGCACCTTGTTTACCATTTGTGGAAAGGATAAGAATGCCGCCCCACCCCAAAATATTCCTGTCCTAGTCGCCATATCTTGTGAATATGTTATTTTACATGGAAAAAAGGAATGCAGATTGCAGATGGAATTACGGTTGCTAATCAGCTAACCTTAAAAGGAGGGTATCCTAGATGATTTTAGGGAAATTATGATGGATTATCTTGGTGTTTCCAATAGAATGCCAAAGTCCTTAAAAGATGAGGAAGAAGGCAGAGCAGCATTCAGAGAAAGAGGTGTGGACAAGGAAGAAGGGTCTGAGTGATGCCGTGTGAGAGGCGTGACCAGCCTTTGTGGACTTTGAGGGAGGAAGACGGGGACCAGGAGCCAAGGAATGTGGGAGCCTCTAGGAGCTGGGAAAAGTGAGGAAGCAGATTCTTGCCTGGAACATTCAGAGGGAAGGCAGCCTTGCTGTCACCTTGATTTTAGCCCAGTGAGATGATGCATTTCATACTTCTGAGCTACAGCACCATGAGATATTTTTTAAAAATGTGGTTTCCATCCACGAAGCTTGTGGAAATTTGTTATGGCAACATAGGAAAAGGTTCCACACTGCACAGTCTGAGCATGGGGCAGTGGCTGAACGAGTAAGTGGAAGTGTCATGTGCACGGATGAACTACGTTCTCTCTTACCGCAAAGCTCTTGTTCCACTAAGTCAACCAGGGTTGGATCATGACAGACAGGAGCTCATTCCTTGGCAAGTAGAACTTCTCTACAAATACACCACCCTCAAAAATGTTCCCCTTCCTTCCCCTTCTCAAGCCCCCAGGCATTTGTCCTCCCAGTTAGGAATGCAGGCAGAACAAACACAGCATTTTTCCTGAGAAGAATGTCTGATTTGCACTCATCCTTCTACCCTGAGGTCTCAGCAGCAGAAAATTAGAGATTAAGAGATTTCACTGAGCCCTGTGCTGGGCCCAGATCCCTTTCGCTGTTGGAGTGTCTGGGGTTCAGAGACAATGGAAGACAGGCCCACAATCACAGAGCTGGCAGGTGCTGAGCCAACGCTTGAATCCAAGGCTTCTACCTCCCCAGGTTTCCAAAAGCAGAGATAAGAGGGGTCCTTCACTTACCAGTTTTGAAGCTTGGTTCAGTGGGTGAAGGCCAACTACTAGAAGGGTTTCCTAGAACATGGGACAGGAGAGAGGTGTGGCAATGAGGATGCCTGTCTTCTACTCAATGGAAATCTTTGAGGTTGGTTCATGGCCAACATTCTATTATCTAATGTTGGGCCCTGGGAGTCCTGGCATCCCATTCTCCATAATCATTGTAGGTGACACCAACTATCTTGAGACTTCAAGGTATAAGGAGAAAACAGGAGCATCACACTACCTGACTTAAAAATATGTTACAGAGCTGTAGTAAGCAAAACAACATGACATTGGCATAAAGAAAAGCACATAAAACAATGGAGCAGAATGAAGAACACGGATGTAATCCACCCATTTACATCCAATGGACTTTGACAAAGGTTCGAAGAATCTACAATCTGGAAAGGACAGTCATTTCAATAAATGGTGCAGGGAAAACTGGATATCTACATGCAGAGGGATGAAACTGCACCTCTACCTCTCACCATACACAAAAATCAGATGAAAATGGATTAATGACTTAAGACCTGAATCCATTAAATGTCTAAAAGGAAACACTGGAGAAATGCTCCAGGACATTTGTCTGAGGGAAGACATTTTGTTTAAAACCTCAAAAACACAAGTAATCACAACAACAACAAAAAAATAGACCATTGGGATTATATCAAATCAAGCAGCTTCTGCACCGCAAAGGAAGCAACCAATGAAGTGAAGAAGAGACAACCCACAGAATGGGAGCAAATATTTGCAAACTATGCATCTGAGATGGGATTAATAACTAGAATATAAAAGAAGCTCAAACACCTCAATAAAACTAATAATTTAATTATAAAATTAGTAAAAGACCTGAACAGACATTTCTCAATGAACAAAACATACAAATGAACATATATACATTGCATATATGAAAAAGTGCTCAGTATCACTAATCATCAGAGAAATGCAAATGAAGTCACAATGAGCTATCATCTCACCCCATTACAATGGGTTTTATCTCAGAGACAGACAAAACAAATGTTGGCAAGGTGGTGGAGAAAGGAGAACCCTGATACACTGTTGATAGGAATGTAAATTAATACAGCCATTACAGAGGAGAAGAATATGGAAGTTCCTTAAAAACTAAAAAGAGATTAGGCACTGTGGCTCACGCTTGTAATCCCGGCACCTTGGGAGGCTGAAGTGGGCAGATCACTGGAGGTCAAGAGTTCGAGACCAGCCTGGCTAACATGGTGAAACCCCGTCTCTACTAAAAATACAAAAATCAGCCAGGCGTGGTGGCGGGCACCAGTAATCCCAACTACTCGGGAGGCTGAGGCTGGAGAATCACTTGAATCCTGGAGGTAGAGGTTGCAGTGAGCCCAGGTGGTGCCATTGCACTCCAGCTTGGGCAACAAGAGTGAAACGCTATGTCAAAAAAACAAAAAGCATAAAACAAAACCTAAAAAGAGAACATCCAGAGGATCTAGCAATTCCACTAGTGGGTGTAAATGCAAAGAAAAGGACTTCAGTGTATTGAAGTGACATCTGCACTCCCATGACTGTTCCAGCACTGTTCACAGTAGCCAAGATGTGGAGTCAACCTACCTGCCCATCAGTGGATGAATGGATAGAGAGAATGTAGTACATACACACAATGGAGACAACTCATCCATACAAAGAGTAACGTCCTGTCATTTGCAGCCACATGGATGGACTGGAGGTCATTACAAGGATTGCCATTTCTTACTCACATGCAGGATGTAAAAGGTGGACCTCATGAAGGTAGAGAGTAGAATGGTGGATACCAGAGGTTAGGAAGGAAGGGGTGGAGGGTAACAAAAGAAGAATATAAAAGTATTTATTTATTTATTTAGAGACAGAGTCTCTCTGTGTCACCAGGCTGCAGTGCAGTGGCATGATCTCAGCTCACTGCAACCTCCTCCTCCTGGGTTTAAGCCACTCTCCCGCCTCAGCCTCCCAAGTTGCTGGGATTATAGGCGCCTGGCACCATGCCTGGCTAATTTTATTTTTTTTGTCTTTTTAGTAAAGATTGGTTCCCCCATGTTGGCCAGGCTGGTCTCCAGCCCCTGATTTTAAATGATCCACCTGCCTTGGCATCTCAAAATGCTGAGATTACAGGCGTGAGCCACCGCACACAGCATATAAAGGTATTTATGATCCCTAGATTTTACACTTAAAAATGGTAAAGTTGATAAATTATATAGGTATATTTAACCTCAATCAGCATTTTTTCAAAGGAAAAGAAAAAGTGTAGGGGTTGCTGGTGATGACATCTCTGTGTAGGTGAGAGGCCAGGGTGGGCTTCTGGGAAATGGGTAAGGTTGAGGGGCTGAGGGAACCTCTGATCTCCCCAAACTGAGCCCAGTCTCCCTCCTCTGGGTCTGTCCTGACCACTTTCTCCATCTGCCTGGGTACCCGGAGCCCTTACTGCAAGCTTCCATGCAGGCCATGCAGGAGGGTTTGGAGGTGCCCTGTCTGCCATCCTGTGCCCTGATCCCACCCTCACACCATGCTGCATCTTCTCTCCACATCTGTCCATGCTTCTCTCCATCATCAGCAGGAAGCTCCTCAGCTAAGGCTCTAGGACCATAGGACATGGGACAGACATTGGCTTTCCTCACCTGTGACAGAAACAGGCAGTGGGTCACTCGGGTCTGACCACTCGTAGGGAGATCCATGGAAAGAGCCGAAGCATCTGTAGGTCTCTCCGTGGGTGGCAGGACCCAGAGGGAAGTCGGCCTGGAATGTTCCATTGATGCTGGGCACTGCAGGGAGCCTAAGTTCATGGGCTTCCCCTTCCCTGGATAGATGGTAGATGTCAAAGGAGCTCTGGGAGCTGCAGGACAAGGTCACGTTCTCTCCTGCGCGAACCGTGGGGCCCGGCCGGGCTGTAAGCGAAGGTTTCTCATATAGACCTGGAAGGAGAAGAGGCAGTTTCCTCAGGGAGGTTCTTCCTTGTCACAGCTCCCCTCCCACCTGAGCTGAGAACTCACTGCCCTGCTCTATGGCCTAGTGCTCTCTCTCTCTCTCTCACCCTCCACCCCTAACTCTTCCTGTCGATCCCTCCCTATGTGGTTCCAGCCTGGTGGTGGCATCAGCAGTGCACCCTTGCTGATCTCAGGGTAGCCAACCTTCTTGTTTGGTTTTTTAACTTGTCCTTCACCTGGGTTCCTGTGTTGGTTTCCTGTTGTTGCTGGAGAAAATTATCACAAACATGGCGGCAGGAGAGAACACACTGACCCCTTCCACTTCTGGAGACAGAAATCAGACCCTGTTCTTCCTGGGCTACAATCAAGGCATCTGCAGGGCTGCATTCCCTCTGGAGACTCGGGAGAATCAGTTCCATTGATTTCTCCAGCCCCTTCGTGGCTCGTGGTCTTCCTCCACCTTCAAAGCCCACAGTGGCTGGTGGAGTATCCCACGATGCTGCTCTAATCCCCATTCTCCTCTTCCTTCTCCACTCATATGGACCCTTGTGATTACACTGAGCCCAGTGGGAGAGTCCAGGCCATCTCCCCATCTCAAGGTCAACTCATCAACAACCTGAGCTCCATCTTCCCCTTCAGTCCCCTGCCCTATAACATAGTCACAGGCTCCAAGGATTACAATGTGGCCATCGATGGGGACAGTTATTCTTTCCAACACAGCACCCATTCCCCTGTATTCAATCCCCCTTTACCCCAAATATAGTTGGGGCCTGGATGATCGGACTCTGGTGGACACCCCCACCAGAAGCTCTGGGACTCAGGAGGTGGGACAAGGAGAAGCCCAGACAGGAGCCCTCTGACCTGTGACCATGATCACCAGGGGGTTGCTGGGTGCCGACCACTCAGTGGGGGAGTGCGGGTGAAAACCTCGACATCTGTAGGTCCCTGCGTGTGCTGGGGTCACAGGGCTAATGAGGAAACTGTTCCAGAATATTCTGTTGTAGAGCTCAGGGACAGGGACCCCATCTTTCTTGTACAGCGTGAAGATGTTAAACCCACGACGATAGTGACACCGAAGAGTCACGTGTCCTCCTTGAGGCACCACAGCGCTGGGCCAGGCAGAGCAGAAGGGCTTGTCCTGACCACCTTGGGGAGAAGGAGATGCCGCCTCAGAGAGGAGTATGTTGAGCTGCCCCTCCCTCCCTGTGCTCAGAAGATTCTCCCCATTTCTTCTTTCTAAGGCTCCTACCACACCTGGGTGCCTGGGGCTACAGGAAGGACCCATCCCGCATAGACGTGGCGTCTCCCTACAACAAAAGTGTCAGTTGAGAACTGAGCAGGTGCTGAGTAAGGGACTCTTACTAGATTTTAATACTGCAAGATTAGTTACACCAAACAACACAAAGTAGACATGGGGTGGAGGGTATGACCTTTGTGAATGGAATATTAGCTAATGCCTGAACCACAATAAACAACTGAGCTCCATCAGAGGATTTGGAATGGCAGGGTCGTGGCTGTGGTTCCCCCACCTCTTCTGGCAGAATGACAGCAGCCACACTGCAGCCCCTACCGTCATGGAAACGCTGGAGGGTGTGAGTTACCCTCTTGTCCTCAGAGGACCTGCTGTTCCTAACACTGCTACCCTTCCCTCCTCTGTCGGTGACACCACATCCCCCCACACACCCCAGCTTTGAGCACCTCAGTATCCCGCCTGGGCCACACAGAGCTCAACTCAGCCATGGGGAAGAAAGGCTGGGGAGGGCTAAGACAAAACAGAAGGCTGAGCATACCAGGATCTCCTCTTACTAGTTCATGAGAGACTCCCAAGATCTCCTCTTACTAGTTCATGAGAGACTCCCAGGATCTCCTCTTACTAGTTCATGAGAGACTCCCCCCAGGCCTTCCCATGGTCAGCCCATCAGCCCACCCTCTGTGCTGCCTCCCTCCCATTTCCGGAAAATTCACTTGTATTGGGGTGAAGATGGCAACCCATCATTTGGGGAAGGACTCACCCACGTGTGCCCACACACTCTGGTCCAAGAAGAACCCTGCAAAGAAAGATCATGATGAACTATTCATCTCGGCACCAACCTACCCTTTCCTCCTGAGCCACTGGGCGCCACGCTGGACTGAAAATTAACTCATCCTCACCACTCACTTGCTTCAGAACATGGCTCTCTGCTGGGGAGACACCCAATCTGCAGGCCCATAGTGTAACCCTGGTGCTCCTTCCCTTCCAGGACTCACCAAGACATGCCAGGATGATGACCGTGGGTGACATGGACATGGTGCAGCTTCTGCTGCCAGGACGCAGTGACTCGGCTCGACTGACCGGTGCAGAGGATGTGGTGAGGGGCCCGGATCGTGCAGTTGACACATTGACCACAACATGTGAAGGGGACATAGGTAGGCTTCTTCTACGTCATATGAGGTTCAAGTGGTGAATCAGTCAAGGGAGGAATGAGGGTTTCTGAAAACTGCAGACTAGACTTGTCACTTCACATCATGCGCAACGGCCAGGCTCAAAACACATCTCAGACTCACTTACCCCTGCACGGGACGATTGAATTCTGCACTCACATGAGGAACTTTTGATGTATTTTTTTTTGTTTCTACCTGAGATTCAAACTCTCCTTGATATGTAATATGCAAAATACCTAATAGGTTTTATTAACACTATAGAGCAATCGTATTAAATAAATCATCATAATTTTCCATGGTTGTATTTTTCCTGTTAAGCCAGAAACAGATAAAATGATTTAAATCCCAGTAGAAAAGACTATATAGTTATTTCGCATCATAGAATTCCACCTTATTAGCAAAAACACAATATGTCAATTGAAGGTCTGGTCGTGTTATCTAGAATTTGTCTTATGACACAAGAGTCCAAATTCACAGTTCCCTGTCTCCCTTTTTGTCTCTCTGTAACGTGTGCTTTTTTTCTCCCTGTGTTGTTTGTGTGTCTTTCTTTCTCTCTCTCATTTGAGGAAAAAATATCAGACTGATAACATCCTCCAACTTGATACTGGAATATTGCAATAACTGAAGGTTGAAATCTACACATTTAATGTGCTGTCATTCTTACAAATGTCTCTTATTTACACCTACCTTTCTGGAGTTTGTAAGAACTTTTTCACTATGCATTTTAAATTTGTAAAACTCATAATTTTTAAAAAGGGATGGGTCTCACTGTTTGCCCAGGGTGGCCTTTACTCATTCTATAAGGCTGGCATCACCCTGATACTAAAGACAGAAAAGAACATTAAACAAAAGAAAACTACATGCCAATATTCCTGATGAACATAGAGGCAAAAATCCACAAAAAATACTAAGAACTGAATCCCGCAGCATATCAAAAAGTGAATCCACCATGATCAAGTCAACTTTATTCTTAGGGTGCAAGGTTGGTTGAACATACACAATCAATACATGTGATTCATCACCTAAACAAAACTAAAAACAAAAACCACATGATCTTCTCAACACACATGTAGAACATACTTTTTACTAAGAATTTCTTCATGTTAAAAGCCCTCAACAAGCTAAGCATTGAAGAAACATAACTCAATATAATAAGAGCCGCCTGTGACAAACCCACAACCAACATCATACTGAATGAGTAAAAGCTGGAAGAAGTTCCCTTCATAAGTGAAACAAGACAAGAATGCCCACTCTCACCATCCTATTCAACATAGTACTTGAAGTCCTAGACAGAGCCATCAGGAAAGAGAAAGAATTATAAGGCATCCAAGTAAGAAGAGAGTAGCAGAGAGAGGTAGTCAAATTACCTCTGTTTGAAGATGAGATAATTTCTATACCTAGAAACCCCATAGTCTCTGCCCAAAGGCTCCTACATCTGAGAAACAAACTTCAGCACAGTTTAAGGGCAGAAAGTCAATGTACAGGCTGGGTGTGGTGTCTCAGCCTGAAATCTAGCACTTTGGGAGGGCGAAGCGGGTGGATCACCTGAGGTCTGGAGTTCGAGACCAGCCTGGCCAACATGGCGAAACCCTGTCTCTACTAGAAACACAAATATAGCCGGACGGGGTGGTACGCAACTGTAGTCCCAGCTGCTTGGGAGGCTGAGTCAGGAGAACCGCTTGAACCTGGGAGGCAGAGGTTGCAGTGAGCGGAGATCACGCCATTGCACCTCAGCTTGGGCAACAACAGTGAAACTGCATCTCAAAAAAAAAACCAAAACAAATTTAATTAATGAGGAAAAGGGTATTTGTGGTGTCCATCATGATGTTTTCATATAGGTACACATTGTGGAATGGATGAAACAACCTCTTTATCATATTTATTTTTTCACATACTTGTATGTTTTGTGTGTGTGGTGAGAACATGTAAAATCTAATCTCTTAGTAATGTTCAATACACCATATGTTGCTATTAACTGGAGTCACCAAGACATACAATAGATCTCTTGAACCGATTTCTTCTAACTGAAATTTTGCATCCTTTGACCAACATCTCTTCAATCTCTCTCCATCCCAGGTTCTTTCGACGACCATTTTACTGTTCCTCTAGGTTCCACTTCTTACACTCCACACATGAGATCATGTGGCATTTGTCTTTCTGTGCCTGGATTGTTTCCCTTAACATAATGTCCTCTAAGTTTTTTCACATTGTCACAAATGAGAGGACTTCCTTCTTTGTTGTAAAGGTTGTATAGTACTTCATTACGTTCCTATCGTATACCACGTTTTCTTTGTCCATGCACCCATAGATGGGCAGTAAGGGTGATTCCACATCTTGGCTGTTATGAATAATGCGGCTGTAAACATGGGAATGCAGATATCTCTTCAACATACTGATTCCACTTCCTTTGGATACATGCGCAGTAGTTGGATTGCAGACACATATGGGAATTCTATGTTTAATTTTTTCAGGAACTTCCAGACTGTTTTCCATAATGGTTATGCTAATTTACATTCCCATCAACTGCATACAAATGTTCCCTTTTCTCCACATCCTCGTTAACCCTTGTTATTTTTTATGTTTTTGATAATGGTCTTTTTTTTTTTTTTTTTTTTGAGACTCAGTCTTGCTCTGTCACCCAGGCTGGAGTGCAGTGGCACAATCTCGGTGTACTGCAACCTCTGCCTCCTGGGTTCAAGCGATTCCCCTGCCTCAGTCTCCAGAGTAGCTGGGACTACAAGTGTGCGCCACCAAACTCTGCTAATTTTTGTATTTTTAGTAGGGATGGGGTTTCACCATATTGGCCAGGCTGGTTTCGAACTGCTGACCTCAGGTAATCTCCCTGCCTCGGCCTCCCAAAGTGCCTGAATTACAGGCATGAGCCACCATGCCCAGACTGTTAATGGTCATTCTAAGAGGTGTGAGGTGATATCTCATTCTAGTTTTAATTTTTATTTAGCTGATGTTTAGTAATGCTAATCATTTTTTCATATACCTTTTGGTGATTTGTCTTATTCTTAGAAATGTTTATTCAGATACTTTGCCCATTTTTTTAAGTTGGGTTATTTGATTTCTTACCATTGAGTTGTTTGAGTTTCTTATATATTTTGGATATTAATTCCTTATTAGATGTATGGGTGCAAATATATTCTCCCATTCCATAGGTTGTCTTTCCACTTGTTGAGTTTTTTTTTTCTTTGCAGAAACTTTCAATTTGATATAATGTTATTTGTCTACTTTTGCTTTTGTTGCCTGGGCCTTTGGGTTAATATCCAAAATGGTTTTGCCCAAGCCAGTGGAGTTTTCCCTTGATTTCTTTTAGTAGTTTTTTTTTTTTTTTTAAGATGGAGTCTCACTGTGTTGCCCCGGCTGGAGTGCAGTGGTGCGATCTCGGCTCACTGCAACCTCTACCTCCTGGGTTCAAGTGATTCTCCTGTCTCAACCTCCCGAGTAGCTGAGATTACAGGCACCCACAACCACACCCAGCTGTTTTTGTATTTTTAGTAGAGGCGGGATTTCACCATGTTGGCCATGCTGGTCTTGGAATCCTGACCTTAGGTGATCTGCCCACCTTGGCCTCCCAAATTGCTGGGATTATAGTCTTTCATCTTACATTTAAGTCATTAATCTATCTTGAGTTGACTTTGTATGTTTTGTGAGGCAAATGTCCACTTCCATTCTTCTGCATGTGGACATGCAGTCTCCCAATCCCATTTATTAAAGAGACTGTTCCTTCTCCATTGTGTGTTCTTGACACATCCCAAAAATTGTTTGACCCTAAATGCATGCATTTTTTTCCTGGGCTATGAATCACTTCCATTGGTCTATGTGTCTGTTTTTATGCAAGTACTGTGTTGTTTTAATTACTGTAATTTTGTAATGTAGTTTGTGTTTAGGTAATGTGATGCTTCCAACTTTGTTCCTTTCCCTCTAGATGGCTTTGGTTATTTGAGATCTTTTGTGGTTCCACATGAATTTTAGGACTGTTTTTTCTATTTCTGTAAAAAAAATGTCATTGGATTTTTGATAATGGTTGCATTGAATCACTTTGGATAGAATGGACATTTTAACAACATTAATCCTTCTGATCCGTGAACATGGAATATCTTTCGATTTATTTGTTTATTTCTTGAGTTTTTTCATCAATGTTTTATAGCTTTTGCATACAGATCTTTCTACTCCTTGGGTGAATTTATTCCTGCATGTTTTGTTTTCTGTAGTTATTGCAAATGGGCTTATTTTCTTGTAAACTTTTTTGGATAGTTTGTTGTTAATGTATAGAAACTTTGTTGTTGTTGTTGTTGTTGTTTTGATGATACCCATCCTAAGGGGTATGAAATGGCATCTGGTGTAGTTTTAGTTAGTATTTCCCTAATGATTCGTGATGCTGAATATCTTTTCATGCGTATGTTCTTTGGAGAAATGTCTGTTTCAGTACTTTGCCCATTTTTGAATTGAGTTTATTGTGATTGAGTTTTAGGAGTTGTCTGTATATTCTGGATGTTAATCCCTTACAGGTGGTGTGGTTTGAAAACATTTTCTCCCATTCTGTGGGTTGTCTTTTTACTTTGATAATATCGTCTTAAAAGTTCTTTTTCCTTGCCATGTGAAGTAACTGATGTTGTCTTTTGAGTCACAATATTTCAAAATTTTCATAAAGTCTAACTTGTTTATTTTTTCTGTAGTAGCCTGTGCCGTTGTTGTCACATCTAAAGAATCACTGCCAAATCCGATGTTGTGAAGTTTTCCTTTGTGTTTTCTTCTAAGACTTTAATTAAATTTTATTTGTCAATATTTAGGACTGACAAAAGCTTTTTAACATTCCTGGCACCATCTCAGTTATTGATCTACTCCCAAGATGGATCATTTCAATTAAAACATGTAAAGCATGACCTCACCTGAATGTGTTTGAACTTGCTCTTCTCCCTTTCAAATCGACTCCCTCACTTACATAGTTTGTGTTCAAATGTCAACAAATAAAACATAAAAAGAAATCAATCTTTTCATAGACCCTTTATCTAAAATAGAATAGTAGGTGCCATGACATTTCATCCTTTCATCTTGAATTATTTACTTTTCTACATGAACCAATCCATTCTTCTGTGTGCATGTGTGTGTGTGTGTGTGTGTAGTTTATCTGTCTACATATAATGTAAACACCAAAAAATAACAGACATTTAGTAATTTTCAAATGAGACTTCAGGAATTAACAATGGCTTGCCATTTTTAGTGTGTTATTATTATTATATTTAGATGAACAGAATTGCCTCAGGAACATGGCCAGGGGCTCATAGTCCAGGAGAACTGTGGCCTGACTCAGGTACATTTTACCTGCAATAACAGCAATTGCAGGTCACTGGAGTCCATCACAATTGGCTGGAGACAAATGTAAGACAAGAATATTTGCAGTTTCCCCAGACTGACACAGTTGCAGGTTCCCCGAAGTAATGAGTCCTGAGACACCTCCAACAAGAGCTAGAAAAGGTATCACTTCAAGAGGAGTTGCAGCCTACTCATTTTAGACAAATGGAGCAAAATTACAGTATCACATCTTTTCCTTTCTCCTTCATAGAATCTGGATGAACAGAACAGAAAGAGTTAATGGAATATAAGATTCCAATTCTCTGGCATGAGAAAATAGACAAGGAAAGGAAGATTCATCTTCATCACATCTCAGACATGCTTGGACACAGGGTCCAAGCACAAAAGAGAAACACATACTTCTTCCCATCCACACTGGGATCCAGGGTCTTCTCCCTCCTGTCAGGCCAGAACTGAGTCTCCACTCCCCAATTTAGTTCCCAGAGATGAAGCCCAATTTTCCTCTGTCTCAAGCTTTGAAGGCCAGCTTTAGCGTGTTCACCATGGATGAATGAAGGTGAGGTCAGAGGTTTGGGAAATGGTCAAGAATGAGGTGAGAAGAGAGCTGTGGAGGCATGGCCCCGGGGAGCTTGGTACCCCCCCATATCCAGAGCCTGTCTGGTCCAGGAGAGTTCCCAACCCTGTGAGCACCAACTCCGGATATTCTGGGCAGTGACCCGAGGGACAGCCTCTTATGAATACAGGCTGTTTTCCTCCAGTGTCTGCTGTGAAACCAGGATGTACAACATGGCCGTGTTCAACCCAACAATGGACTTAGGATTTTGCTGTACGCCAAAACTCAGTGTCCAACTTCCACTCTGTTTAGCTGGAAAAAGAAGGGGTTTGTTCCCATACATCTCACTCCTGTGTTCCTCTTTCAGTCTCAAAGCTCAGATGAAAACAATGAGTGTCACTTATTGTCAATCCTCTTCCCTGCCTTTTCCACACTCATCAGTATTACCGTTTACATTGAGACTAAAGATGGCCAATCACCACTTTTCTTCGGAAAAATCAACCTGATGTTGTACCTACTTTTTTAGAGGTGGAATCAACCTACCCTAAGATGCCAACTACATTTTACTGAATGGACTTTTGTGGATCCCCTCGATGTATATAGTGGCACCTTGAGGTATCATCCCTGTCTTTAGCAAATGAATATTATCCCAAGGACAATATTTCATCACAATTATTCGGGATGGACGAGTGGATATTGTGGTAGCAAGAACATTACTAAAAGTCACAGCTGATACAACACACTTGAAACCCATCTGGCCAATCTCCCACAGACAGAATGTCGCGCCATTCACTCCAGCCAGCTTCAGTCATGTTTCTTCCATTTCCACCTGTGGCCCCTCATGTCTCCACCAGGTCTTAGCCAGCATTGCCAAAAGAGCCAGGAAGACCAGACCAGCCACAACAATCCTGATGGAACTCTCCACAGTATAGTTCTGGAGAACAGGGGCTGGAGGGTGGGGGTAAGATCAGAGACCTTTCCATGTGGGCCAGGCCCCTCTCTCCCCAGAAGCTCTGAAATGGAGCTATTTCCCCATCTCACCTTCATAAAATTCTTCCTGTCCAGAACCCCTCTTCTCCCTATATCATCATGAGCACCTTCAGAAGTCTTTTGCCACAAAAAGAAATTTCTTTTGAAGATATACATTTTTTTGTACATTTCAAAAATGTTCCCAAACTAATTCTCCAAAGCAATAAATGTTTGTGTGTATTGCTGGGTAGGTTATGCATACAAGGAAAGGAAGCATAGTGAGTCTGATTTGGCAGAGGAAACATATGTGGAAATTATATCATTTACTCTCTTTACAAAATTAAGTACAAAATTGAAAACACTGGTAAGAAAGAATGAGCTATAGAGAAAGAAAACATCTGAGATGTTTGTTTCCAAGATGGCTGACTAAATGCTTTTCTGGCATGTCTCATCCACTTAGAAGAACGAGCAGAATCCAGAACAAAAACCATATGATCATCTCAATAGACATAAAGAAAAGCATCTGAAAAGAAATTCAACATCCTTACCTGATGAAAACCCTCAAAAACTTAGGCATAGAAAGAACATACCTCAAAATAATAAAAGCCATAGATGACATATCTAGAGTCAACATCATACTGAACAGGAAAAGTTAAAAGCACTCCTCTGAGAACTGGCACAAGACAAGGACACGGACATCCACCACTTCCTATCAACATAGTACTGGAAGCCTTGTCAGAGCTATTGGGCAACAGGAAGAATTAAAAATCCAAATTAGAAAAGAGGAAGTAAAATTATTTTTATTTCTGATGCTATGATCTTAAATCTAGAAAATCCTAAAGACCCTGCCAAAAATTCTTATGATTGATAAATGAACTAAGTAAAGTTTCAGAATACAAAATCAATATGTAAAAGCCGGTAGCATTTCTCTACACCTATAATGATCTAGCTGAGAACCAAATCAAGAAGGCAATGCCGTTTACAATAGATACGCAAAATTAAAACACTCAGGAATACATTTAACCAAGGTGGTGAAAGATCTGTACCAGGAAAGGTGTAAGACACCAATGAAAGCAATTATAGATAATACAAAAAAAAAAAAGAAAAAAAATCCCACGCTCATGGATCATAAGAATTAATATTGTTAAAATGACCATACTGCCTAAAGCAATCTACAGATTCAGTGCAATTCTTATATGAAAATAGTAACACCAGTTTTCACAGAATTAGAAAAAGCAATCCTAAAATTCATACAGAACCAAAAAAGATCCTAATAGAGAAAGCAATTCTAGGTGAATGTAGAAACCTGGAGGCATCACGCTATCTGACTTCAAACTATGCTCTAAGGCTATAGTAACTTAAATAGCACAGTGCTGGTATAGACACAGAAACAGAGATCAATAGACCAGAATAGAGAGCCCAGAAATACAGCCTCATATCTACAGTGAATAATCATTGACGACGTTAACAAAACATACACTGGAGAAAGATTTCCTTTTCAATAAAAGGTGCTGGGAAAACTAAATAGCCATATGCAGAAGAATAAAACTGGACCTGTATCTGTAATCATACACATAAATTAACTTAAGGTAATTAGCAGCTTAAATGTAAATCCAGAACTATAAAATCACCGGTGGAAACCCAAAGAGAAACTCTTCTGGGCATTGGTCTGGGCAAAGAATTCATCACTAAGACCTCAAAAGCACAGGCAATAAAAATAAAACTAGACCAATGGGACTTAATAAACGAAAGAGCTTCTGCCAAGCAAAGGAAATAGTAGCAGGGTGAACAGACAACCCACAGAATGAATGGAAATGTTTGCAAACTATGCACCCAACAGAGGACTAACATCCAGAATTTCTAGGCAACTCAAACAACTAAACATAACCCCTCAAATAATAGCATTAAAAAGTGGGCAAAGGGATATACATAGACATTTTTCAAAAGAAGACATACGAATGGCCAAACAGCGTATGAACATCACTAATCATCAGAGAAATGCAAATTGAAACCACAATGAGATATCATCTTACAGTAGTCAGAATGGCTATTACTAAAAATGCTGGTGGGGAGTGGTGGCTCACGCTTGTAATCCCAGCACTTTGGGAAGCTGAGGCGGGTGGATCATGAGGTCAGGAGTTTGAGACCAGCCTGACCAACATAGTGAAACCCCATCTCTACTAAATATACAAAAGATTAGCTGGGCATGGTGGTGTGGTTCTGTAATCCCAGCTACTCAGGAGGCTGAGGCAGGAGAATCATTTGAACCTGGTTGGTGGAGGTTGCAGCGCGTGGAGATGGCGGCACTGCACTCCAGCCTGGGTGACAGTGGAAGACTCCATCTCAAAAAGAAAAAAAGAAAAAGTGAAACATATAACAGGTGTTGGCAAGGATGCAGAGAAAAGGAAACTCTTATACACTGTTGGCCGGTATGTAAATTAGTATAGCCTCTATGGAAGACAGTATGGAAATTTGGCAGAGAACCAAAAATAGAAGCACCATTCGATCTAGGGGTCCCGCTGCTGGGTATCTACTCAAAAAATATCTGCACCTGTATGTTTATTGCAGCACTGTTTGCAATAGCAAAGATATGAAATCAATCTAAGTGTCTGTGAATGAATGATTGGATTAAAAAAAGGATGCGTGTATACACAACGAAATACTATTTGGTCATAAAAATAAAACCATGTCTTTTGCAGCAACATAGATGGAGCTGGACGCCATTATTTTACATAAAACCACTCAGAAAGACAAATACCACATCTTCTCACTCTACATGGGAGGGGAGTAATGTGTACATATGGACGTAGAGTGTGGAATGACGGACAGCGGAGGCTAGAAGGCTGGAGGGTGGCGGGACGTGGGTGAGTGATGAGAATTTGCTTAATGAGTACAATGTACGGTATTTGGGTGATGGATATAGTAAAAGTCCTGACTTCACTACTCTGCAACATATTCATGTCACAAAATTACAAGTGTACCTCATAAATTTATACTAATAGAAAAGAAAGTCTGTACACAGTAATCAATTGTGATATGTAGATAAAGTCAATATTAAATTTAAACCAGAATAACTAGTTAAAATGTTGTGTACACAACAGTGAAGAGAGTATTTATCCTCTATGACAGAGGAAACCATCAATATTAATGCACAGAAAAAGCAAATAACTGAAACAAGAAAGAGCAGTTTTGTGACAGGGTAAAAATTGACAACAGTTTTAGAATGCTCCTAACTTGAGTTCCAAAAAGAAAGAACGAGAAAACAGGTCAGAAGCAATCTTTAAAGAGGCAATTGTTGATTATTTGGAGGAAGTAGACACATCCATCAATCCACAGGTTCAAGAAATCCAGTGAATGCCAGGCAGAATGAAGTAAACACACCTCACGTTCAACATTACAGAAAAGCAGCATAAAAGCACAACCAACCCTTAAAATTAGCCAGAGGAAAAGGATCAGCTGGTAAGGATTTATAGGGAGCCAAGCATTGTCTTCCCCACAGAAAAAAGGAAAACATAAGCCAGTAGAATAGCATCTTTACCCAGCTAAGATACCGTCGCCAGCCACCGACAATTCCTTACATAGTACAGTTACTGTCCAAGATCAACGCAGGAAAGAAACAGAACTGAAAGACAAAAGGGCAAAGAAAGCTTTTCTCACTGACCCTAAAGGAAATTCTGATGACCGTGCCTCAAAGATAAAGAAAGTGAAACCAGATGGGGTGTCGAAGATTCTGACAATAACTAAGAGCAGAGGAAGAACTAAAAATATGGCTATGCCAAAAATGAATATGGACCATACGATAGTGTATGAAAACACGCCCCTGTGTAATTTCTGAAAAAGATAGAATTATGTATACCACAAAACAAAACATCATATAAGTAAATACAAACATATGTACTAAATATGCTCTAAAATCCTGTTCTTACACAGGAAGAGTGGAAATATGTTTTTATATTTGCAGTTTAATCTCTGAAATGATTAATTTCAATTTTAAAAATATGTAACAACTTCAGGATGAGTACACCATATATGTATTCCTAAACGACATAGATCAAAAATAGAATGTTTGAAATAGAAAACCACAGAAGTCAGTGGGAAAAAAAGGGAATCAGGAAAACACAACGTAATAATAACAAAAATATGATTGGAAGAACTGCTCAAACATGAACAAAAGATTGTCAGAAAGTCTTACTTTCTAAGGCGAATTGTTTGAAATTTACAAAGGACACATCTCAATGTTAACAATTCATGGAGTTTGAAATTAAACAATGTAGAAATATACCAAGCAATCACTGTTAGAAATGTGGTATAACTATATTAAAATTAGACAAAATTAGTCTTTGGGAAAAATCAGCGGAAAACATTAAGCATAAAATGTAGGAAAAAAGCAGGTAAATTTATAGCATTTTAAATTTACCAGGAATATATAATCAGTTTACACTTAACCACTCCCAGTAATATTCCTGCAAATATACATGGAGGAAGAGTCGCGGAAATAAATGGACAGGTAGGCAAATCCACGGCCACAGTGGGGTGTTTAACACTCCTCTTTTCTCAGTTGTTGATAGAAGTGGTTCAGGCAATTAGAGAGGATTTAGAAAGATAATTGCTGGACCTGACCCAAGGTATAAGTCCACTCCCAACCACAGGACTCACTTTCCTTACAAGCACAAGGGCATTTAGAAATCTCTCTGGATTCTGACCAGCCCTCACCATATGGCAGGTCCATGGACTTCTTGGAACACACCAAGCTCATTCTCACATTAGGGTCATCCCCAATGTCCTAAGTCCATGAAAGTTCCTTTCAATACACTCCCCAGGGCTCACTCCCTCTTGTCTCTAAGATCGGAGTTTAAATGTGATCTCTCTGATGAGGTCTCAGTGAGACGTTCCCTCCTGTACACTCCAAATGACAACGTTCCACGTTCATTCATTTCATTCTGTGCATGGCACTTTCACCAAGTGCTAAGGATTCACTCACTAATTCATACATTCATTCATTCATTCATTCACTCATTCCATCATTCACTCATTCATTCATTCTCTCATTCATTCATTCATGTTCTGCCTCTCTCTCCCACCCCACAGCAATGTGAGCATCATGAACCCAGGAGCTTGGCCGTGCTGTCTACTCCTGGCCATGAAACAGAGAGAACTGATGGTAGGTGTGAAATAAATATTAGATGAATGAGTTAGTGAAGGGGTCATTTACTGGGTGAGCTCAGTTCTCTCTACTCTAATGCCCTCCCTCGGCTGACTTCCCTGAGTTGCCCCCTCGGCTGAGTGAAGTCCCTTCACTGGCAAATGGAACCTCAACCAGTAGCACCTAGGTGGTCTCATACTTTGTTCTTTCCCTCTCCTCTTGCTCCCTAAGGATTATCAATCTCCATGACAGGGCTGGAGAGCAGACAAGCCACACATTCTTTCTGGGGAGAGAGTAACATGGAGTACAAGGCATTCCACATTTAGGAAGAGAACTCAGTTATGGAAGGTCAGAAATGAAAAGTTCCTACAGACCAACACCCAGGTTGGTGGCCACAGCCCTAAATGCTGATGGAGAATCACTGCAAGTCTGTAGGGAAGATGTCTGGCTTGAGGCCACTGAGCGAAGTGGCAGATCCTTCTCAGCCTTCAGTGCTGAGCCTCTGTCCCCTCAGGGATCCACTGACCAATGAGAAGAGCCTCTTCTCATCTCCTGGGATGGAGCTTGGGGCCCCTGGCGAAGGAATGGGCCTGTTTCCACCTGTCATGTTGTCATCTAGCTTGGAAATCCTGCGAGTCCCAGGGAGGCCCTCCCCGAGTCCCCAGAGAAGACTCCCCCACTGAGTCTCCAAGGTGTGGAGAGAGCAAAAAACATCTAGGGTGGAAAATGCCTCCCATCAAGAGACATTGGGGCTCCCCCAACGATGGTTGCATCTGTGCCCCCCATGTGGAAATCACTCTTTGGTGAGAGGTGGGGGCTTCTGGAAATGGGCAATGGCGGGCGGCCAATGCTACCTCTAGTCTTTCCAATCTGAGCCCGGCCTTTCATGCTCCTGAGTCAGCATTGATGCTGTTTACATGTGTCCCAGGTGGGCTTCTGTACAAAGACTGGGAAGTGGTTTATGTGGCCTGTGCTCTATCTGCAAGCTTCAGGTAGGGTTGCAGTTACCACCCCAAACCCTAATGTGATCTGTCTGCCTCGCTCTGTCTGTCTGTCTATGCCTCTTTCTGTATGTTTGCTTTGTGTGTCTTCTATCCAGCGTCTCTGGCTGACACCCCCATGGCCACCCCCTCCATCTGAGGCTCCCCTGAATGTGGCCATTGTAGTCCGTCTGAGTCCCACTATTTGGGGAACAGACTGGTTTCCTCACCTGTGACAGAAACAAGCAGTGGGTCACTAAGGTCTGACCACTCGTAGGGAGAGTCACGGAAAGAGCCGAAGCATCTGTAGGTCCCTCCGTGGGTGGCAGGGCCCAGAGGAAAGTTGGCCTGGAAGGTTCCATTGACCTTGGGCACTGCAGGGAACCTAAGTTCATGAGCCTCCCCCTCCCTTGATAGATGGTAGATGTCATAGGAGCTCCGGGAGCTGCAGGACAAGGTCACGCTCTCTCCTGCCTTAACCATGGGGCGCGGCTGGGCTGAGAGAGAAGGTTTCCCACATAGACCTGGAAGGAGAAGAGGCAGTTTCCTCAGGGAGGTTCTTCCTTGTCACAACTCCCCTCCCACCTGAGCTGAGAACTCACTCCCCTGCTCTATGGCCTAATGCTCTCTCTCTCTGTCTCACCCTCCACACCATCTCTCTTTATGTCTATTTCCTCTTTCCACCTTCTCTGTCTCTCTAGGTCTCTGACCTCACTTTCTCACCTCTAGATATGTTTTCCCTTTTTGGATTGTTTTATTCTCTCTGACTCTCCTTGGACTAGTTGACTTGATGTTACTTTTTTTAAATTCTGAGTTTCTCACTTTGTGTCCTGTTCATAACTTTCTGCATATTTCTATCTATTATCTATCGATATATCTATTTATCTATTTGGTGCCTATCTACAAATTCTCTACCTGTCATCTATATCTATATATAATCTATTTATCTATCAATTGTCTATCCAAAAATCATCTATTATCTATATCTATGTATCATCTCTCTCTCTCTATGATTTCTCTTTGTCTGCCTCTCTATCTCTATGTATTATCTATCTATCTTCATCTTCATCATCTCTATGTATCATCGATTAATCAATGAATGAATCGATCATCATCTATGTATCTATAACCTATTATCTATCATCTACCTATTTATCATCTATCTATATCTATCCATCTATCATCTGTCTTGCTCTGCCTCTCGGTCTCTCTAGTTCTCTTTGGAATCTCTGCAATTCATCCCCACATCTCCATCTTTCTATGTCCTTGTGCCTCTCCCTCAGGACTCTAATTTTAGTGCTTTTCTCTGTTCCCTTCCATTGTTCTCTCCACTTCTCTGCCCTCTTTTCTCCCTCTTTATGTGTCTGTGAGTCTCTCAATCTCCTTCCTCTGGCTCATTCTCTGTGTGTTTATGTCTTTGCTTTTTGGTGTCCCTGATTTCTCTCTGTGTCTCTCAGTGATCCTCTCATATGTGGGGTTATTTGGAATGTGAGCCTCAGAATCCAGTCTGGGGACCGCAAGTTCACACAGTATACAGGGGTTGATGTTCTGGGGCCATGATATCCTGGGACGATTACTCTCCATTGCATGGAAGGCAGAGGTGTCAGAATAAACACGGCATCTGTAGGTGCCAGAAGGCCTGAGGCCACAGGGCCCAACTCAGGCCAGAAATATGGGTGTCCTTGGGTTCTTCTGGTAGAGAACACTTTGTGGAAGTAAAACAGAAATGAAACTTCTAACCTGTGCCAGGTCTCTGAGCAAAGTCAGCATGGAAGGACACCTCTCTCTGGCACATGTCTGTCTGTGTCTCCTTTAACTCTTTCTGTCTTTTCTAACTCCCTGTATGGCCCCTGTGTCTGTCCTCTGTTATGACACCTGGTCTGTACTTGTGTCTCCTGTTTCTCTGTCTCTGTTGGTACAGACCTCACCAAATTAGTCTCTCTCCATAAGAATACCAAGCTCATCTTCCTTATAACCACCTGGGCCTCCAAGTCGTGGATCATTCACTCTGTGTCCCAGTGACAATGAGAATAATGTCCAGACACTCTCACCTGTAATCACGATGTCCAGAGGGTCACTGGGAGCTGACAACTGATAGGGGGAATGAGGAACAGAACCGTAGCATCTGTAGGTCCCTGCAAGGTCTTGCGTCATGCGACCGATGGAGAAGTTGGCCTTGGAGACCCCATCATGGAGCTCTCCAGTGAGGCGCAAAGTGTCATTAAACTTCCCCTCTCTGTGCAGAAGGAAGTGCTCAAACATGACATCTGACCAACATTGCAGGATGACTGTCTCCTCTGATTTCACCAGGGGACCTGGGTGGGCCAGGAGGGAAGGTTTTCTGTGGACTCCTAGGAAGAGAGGTTGTGACTTTAGAAGGCATCTCTCTTTATCATCCCATCCATGGCACCTAGAATGAGTGAGGCTTCCCCTCGCTGGTGTCTTATCTCTCTCCTTCCTCTCTGTGTCTTCATGTTCTTTTCTGTGCCCATAACTCCTGGTACAGGTCCTTCCATCTGTCTCCCTCCCTCTTCTCTGTCCCTCTGTCTCTAGTAGCTCCTGATTCCCTTGCCGCTGGGCTCAGCCTCATCTCTTGGGCTGTTGTATCTATTTCGAACTAATGTCTTTCCTGCTTCTATGTGGGGGTGGAAGAGGAACCAGGATAGGCTGCACGTCCAGGCTCTTAGCAGACTGGTTCAATCTCTTTTGGACGAATTGGAATCCTTGGCAGAAGGTATGAACTGATCAGTAAGGCAGGCACCAGTGTCCACACACCCTGTTCCTGGTGGGGACTGGGAGCCACTCTTGCCATGCCTGTGCCTTCTCCATGGTGCCAGCTTCCATAGGCTGGCTTCTGGTGCTGGTTTGAGGAGTATCAACCCCTCCCTATGTGGATGGAGCCTGGTGGTGGCATCATCATCCCACCCTTGCTGATCTCGGTGTAGCCAACCTTCTCTTTGTTTGGTTTCTTTAATTAATTAATTAATTTTGGAGTCAGAGTCTCACTCCTTCACCCAGGCTGGAGTGAAGTGGTGTGGTCTAGGCTCACTGCAACCTCTGTCTCCTGGGTTCAAGTGATTCTCCTGCCCTCAGCCTCCTGAGTTGCTAGGATTACATGCACCTGCCACCACGCCCGGCTATCCTTGTGTCCTTTCTTATCTTGTCCTTGACCTGGGTTCCAGTGTTGGTTTCCTGTTGGTGCTGTAGAAAATTATCAGAAGCATGGCAGCAGGAGAGAGCACACTGACCCCTTCCGTTTCTGGAGACAGAAATCGGACCCTGTTTTTTGAGGGCTAAAATCAAGGCATCTGCAGGGCTGCGTTCCCTCTGGAGACCCAGGAGAATCAGTTCCTTGACTTTTCCAGCCTCTATAGGCCACCTGCATTCATGGCTCATGGCCTTCCTCCACCTTCAAAGCTGATGGAGACTTCCATTGCACTGCTCTAATCGCCACTCCCCTCTTCCTTCTCCTCTCATGTGCACCCTTGTGATTACACTGAGCCCAGCAGGACAGTCCAGGCTGTCTCCCCATCTCAAGGTCAACTCAACAACCTGAGCTCCATCTTCCCCTTCAGTGCCTTCCCCTATAACATAAATAGTCACAGACTGCAGGGATTAGAATGCAGTCATCATTGGGGACAATTATTCTTTCCACCACAGCACCCATTTCCCTGTATTCAATCCCCTTTTACCCCAAATACAGTTAGGGTCTGGATGATGGGACGCTGGTGGACACTCCCACCAGAAGCTCTGGGACTCAGGAGGTGGGACAAGGAGAATCCCAGACAGGAGCCCTCTGACCTGTGACCATGATCACCAGGGGGTTGCTGGGTGCTGACCACCCAGTGAGGAAGTGTGGGTGTGAACCCCGACATCTGTAGGTCCCTGCATGTGCTGGGGTCACAGGGCCTATGAAAACGGTGTTTCGGAATACTCTGTTGTAGAGCTCAGGGACAGGCATCCCGTCTTCTTTGGACAGACTGAATTCGTTAAACCCAAGACGAGAGCGACACTGAAGAGCCACATGTTCTCCTTCAGACACCACAGGGCTGGGCCAGGCAGAGAGGAAGGGCTTGTCCTGACCACCTGGGGGAGAAGGAGGCGCCACCTTAGAGAGGAGGATGTGGAGCCGCCCCTCCCTCCACGTGTCAGAAGATTCTCCCATTTCCACTTTCTAAGGCTCCTACCACACCTGGGTGCCCAGGGCTACAGGAAGGACCCACCCCGCATAGACTTGGCGTCTCTCTACAACAAAAGTGTCAGCTGAGAACTTTGAGCAAGTGCTGAGTAAGGGACTCCTACTAGATTTTAATCCTGCAAGATTACTCACATAAAACAACACAAATAGACATGGAGTCGAGGGCATGTTCTTTGTGAATGGAATATCAGCCAATGTGTGAACCACAATACACAACTGAGCCCCCAACAGAGGATTTGGAAGGTCAGGGCCCTGGCTGGGGTTCCCCCACCTCTGAGGTAGAATGACAGCAGCCACACTGCAGCCCCTACCGTCATGGAAACGCTGGAGGGTGTGAGTTACACCTTTGTCCTCAGAGGCCTGCTGTTCCTAGCACTGCTTTGCTCCCTTCCTCTGCCAGTGACACCACATCCCAGCCGCACAGCCCAGCTTGGAGGACCCCAGTCTACCCTCCCGGGTTCCCACAGAACCTGACTCAGCCAAGGGAAAGGAAGGCTGGGGAGGGCAAGGTCGGAACTGTGGGCTGAGCACCCCAGGGTCTCCTCATCCTTGTTTATAAGAAAATCCCCCACCGGGCTTCCCTCCTGTTTCAGGAAAATCCTCTTATGTGGGGAGATGACACCCTAAGGTTTGGAGAAGGACTCACCCTCATGTGGCCAGGCCCCCTGCAGCAAGAAGAACCCTGGAAAGAAAGATCATGATGGACCATCCATCTGCAGGCAAACCAGGACTCCCTTGCTGCCCCCACTGGGCTGTGAGTCTTGGTAGCCAGGCCCTTGCTGGGCTGAAGGGAAACTCACCCTCAGTGCCTGCTTGCACCCAAGAACAGGGCTGTCGGCTGTGTAGAGACCCAGCCTCCAGGCCCATATCCGCACCCCAGGCCCCTATCCCCACCCCAAGCCCATATCTCCACTCCAGGCCCATATCTCCACTCCAGGCCAATATTTCCACCCTAGACCCATATCTCCAATCCAGGCCCATATCTCCACCCCAAGCCCATATCTCCATCCTAGGCCCATATGTCCACTCCAGGCCCAGATATCCACCTCTAGGCCCATATCTCCACCTCCAGGCCCATATCTCCACCTCCAGGCCCATGTCTCCACTCCAGGCCCATATCTCCATCCCAGGCCAATATCTTCACTCCAGGCCCCTATCCCCACCCCAAGCCCATATCTCCACTCCAGGCCCATATCTCCACTCCAGGCCAATATTTCCACCCTAGACCCATATCTCCAATCCAGGCCCATATCTCCACCCCAAGCCCATATCTCCACACCCAGGCCCATATCTCCATCCTAGGCCCATATGTCCACTCCAGGCCCAGATATCCACCTCTAGGCCCATGTCTCCACTCCAGGCCCATATCTCCATCCCAGGCCAATATCTTCACTCCAGGCTCCTATCTCCCCTCCAGGTTCCTATCTCCACTCCAGGCCCAGATCTCCACTCCAGGCCCATATCTCCACCTCCAGGCCCATATCTCCACTCCAGACCCAGATCTCCACTTCTAGGCCCATCACTCCATCTCCAGGCCCATATATCCACTCCAGGCCCAGATCTCCACTCCAGGCCCATAACTCCACCTCCAGGCCTATATCTCCACCTCTGGGCCCAGATCTCCATCCCTGCACTCCCTCCCTCTATTCCTTTCCAGGACTCACCAACACACGCCATGCTGACGACCATGAGCGACATGGTGCTGCCGGTGCAGACAGGCGGCCGCGCCCCAGCTCAGCTCAGCAGCGCACAGGATGTTATTTGGCGCCCTGCCCATGCAGTTTACATGTTGACCACATCATGGGAGGGTGACGTACGCAGGCTCTTTCTACCTTGCATGAGGCCCAGTGGGTGCTTGCTCAAGAGCGGAACACGGCTTCCTGGAAATTGTTCTCACTAGAATTGGCACCTCGCGTCCTTCACTATGACCAACTCACAACACGTCTCAGATCCAACCTCCCGAACACAAGATGCCTAAAATCTGTGCTAACGTGAAAGACTTTTCATGTATTTTTATCCGAACACGAGATGCCTAAAATCTGTGCTAACGTGAAAGACTTTTCATGTATTTTTATTGTTTTTATCTGAGATTCAAACTCTTCTTCCTGTGTAATATGCAAAGTATCTAATAGGTATTATTAATGTTTTCGGAGTCATTGTGACTAATAAACCATTAGAATTTTTCATGCTTGTATTTCTAGTATTACAGCAGAACCAGCTAAAATGATTTAAATTCCCAGGGAAGGATTATGCAATTATTTACAGTCTTAGAATTGTACTTTATCAGCAAAAACCACACCTGTAAATTCTGGAGTTTTGTAGTTTAATCTAAAATTTGTCTCATGACCCAAGATTCCAGAGTCCCAACTCTGGAGTTTGATCTCTGTCTGTCTCTCTCCCTCCCTCGTTTTAAATTTTACAGAAATATCCAGTAACATAATGCTATAGAAAATCAAGTTTTCCCCAGCACGTTGGGAAGCCGAGGTGGGCGGATCAACTGAGATAAGGAGTTTGAGAGCAGCCTGGCCAATATAGTGAAACCGTGTCTCTGCTAAAAATCCAAAAATTAGCCGTGCCTGGTGGCAGGCACCTGTAACGCCAGCTGCTCAAGAGGCTGAGGCACGAGAATCGCTTGAACCTGGGAGGCGGAGGTTGCAGTGAGCTGAGATTGTGTCACTGCAGTCCAGCCTGGGCGACAGAGCAAGACTCCGCCTCAAGAAAAAAAAAGCAAACAGCCTATAATAACAAATTAGAGGGCTCTGGCTACTAAATTTAAAGGGTTCTATAAGGCTACATAAAGTGCAGCATCATCAAGAGTGTGGACACAGAGAGCCCCTTAGCAGAAACAGTGTCTAAAATACATCCATGTACACACAGTCCCTTTAGAGTTGACAAAGGCTGCCGTGTGGTTTAAGGTGGCATAGAATGTCTTCTCAATAAATAATATTAAACCAATTGGTTACACCTAGGAAAAAATAAATCTAACTCACACTACAAAAACACTTCTTAGTTTTTATCTAGTTGTACATTTTTTATGATTTATATTTAAATTTGAGAAATAAAAGTCATATACGGTCATCCTTCACTATTCGTGGGTGATTGGTTTTGAGATCTCCACTCAGATACCAAAATCTGTAGATGCTCAAGCCTCTTATATGAAATGGCACAGCGTTTGCAAATAACCTATGCACATCCTCCTGTATACATGAAATCATCTCTAGATTACTTATAATTCCTGATACAGCCTACACACAGCTTCATTTGTGTCCATTTAACATAGTTATGCTTTTTGAAACTCTGTGCATACTTTCTCTCAATATTTTTGATTTATACTTGGTTCAATAAACACCTGTAAGCCCCGCAGATATGGAGGAGTGACCGTATATTTATATTATGAAAGAAGATGTGTTGATATGTGTCCCCATGGAGATGAGACTAACAAGGCCTATGACTCTACAAATGTTTCATTGTGGAATGACTCTGCCAGCTTTCCAGGTCTGCAGAGAGTAAGAGTATCACTTGTTCATGTGATTCGCGATCCTTGGAACCTCCTATGTGCTACATCTTTGGATGGAAATTGGAGTCCCAGAGACAAATGAGGCTCCACCCTGCTTCCAGAAGCTCAGAGTCCAGGGATGAGAACTCAGTGGGGAACAGATGGGATTATATGGACATGGTACTGATAACACCGGAAGCCTTAGGCAAGAAAAGAGTCCCATTACCGAAACCATGAGGGCAGACATGTTTATTTGAAGGATGGAAAACTACATTGAAGTTATTTTAAAAAATATATAAGTTTTACTGCTGACAGAAGGCTGAAAGCTAGTCTGAGGGGAGGTGGAACAGCATGAGGGAAGGTGGAACAGCACGTGTCTAAGTGCTGCGTTAAGACGGAGCCTCTTGTATGTGTGGAATTGTGAGTTCCTCAGTGTGATTGCAGCCTCAAGTAGACTAGGAAGTAAGCCAGTTAGGTTGGAGAGGTGGGCAGGGGTCAAGTGAAATGGAGAACTGTGGGCTAAGCAAAGGAGTGTGTTTTTTCTCCAGCAGGCAGTGGGGACCTTAGACATTTGTAAGCAAGTGAGAGGCACATTCAGATTTGTGGTGTGAGGAAGAGCGATGCCCTAAGATGCAGACTCATGCCTTCAGATTCCAGCTGCTGGTACATGGGAGCTGGCAACCCGGTTTTGAGACAGGGCTGTTGTCTCCCTAGAAGACGCCCTCAAGGCCTGACTGTGGTGCTCATGGGCAGGAGACAACTTTGGATCTGGACTCAGCATTTGGAAGTTCCGTGTACACGATGATATCTGTTGGGGGTGTCTTGGGCCTCTGAGAAGGGCGAGTGATTTTTCTCTGTGTGAAAACGCAGTGATTCAACTGTGTGTATGTCACCTCCTGAGGGTCTTGTTCATCAGAGTCCTGGAGAGAGGGAAATCCTGAGTGAGGGAGGGTGCTCACATTTTCCAGGACTCTTTGGGAATAACAGTAGCCACGAGCCCGGGCCGAGGAGCACCTACCTCGCTATTCGCTGTTCTGTTTCCTGCAGACTCTTGGTCCATTACCGCAGCATCTGTAGGAGATGGAAGTCAACAAAACAGCTCGGAGGGCACTTCTGGGTCCTCATTTCATAAGCAGATACCAACATACAGGGGGAGACCATAGGTGGCTGAGGTCCCTCAGTTGCCAACAGCAGACTCAGACATTCTATCTCTCTGAGCTCAAGGACCCATCCCATGAATAGCTCTGAGTTCCCATCCCATTGATTCTGTCTCCCACTTTCTGCCTGTCATGGAACCTTCTCCTGGATGTGAGTGGCTGCAGGGGACATGAGGATACAGTTCAGAATCAGGCAACGGTCTGTGAGCTGAAGGCAGGGGCAGGGAGTCTGGTGCCCTCTCTAGAAAGTCCTGCCTCTGTGGCTGCTGCCTTGGGCCAGGGACCATCCTGTTAGTGAGGAACACACACCTGAGTGCTCCCATCCTGCTTCCCCACATGGCCCTGAGCTCTCTGGCCTCTGCTTCGTGAGACTTACTTTTTTTGTTGGAGCACCAGCGATGAAGGAGAAAGAAGAGGAGGATGAAGAGGATGATGACCACTGAGGTCCCAATCAGAATGTGCAGGTGTCGGGGGTTACCTGGAAGAAGATGAGACACCAATAAGAAGCTAATCTTAGCAGTTCCTCTTTATGAATTGTCTCGCATTTCTTGATTGACAGGTAACCACATAAAACACCTCTTTAGGACAAGCACCCAGATGGCAGGAGACCCAGCTTTCTCCTGCTTTTTCAGTTATAGCTCTCATAGTAACCATAGAACGTGCTGAGGATACGACTACTTTAGTTGAGATGTTTGACCCCTTCAAACCTCACATTGAAATTTCACCCCCACTGTGGGAGGTTGGGCCTCTTGAGAGGTGTTTGGGTCATGGAGGTGGATCCATCATGAACACATCAATGCTGTCCCAAGGAGACGGGGTTAGCAAGTTCCCCCTCTATTAGTTCCCGGAGAGCTGGTTGTTAAAAAGAGCTTGGAAGCTCCATCGCTCCCCCTCCCCCTTGCTCCCTCTCTTGCCGTGTGATCTCTGTGGTCTCTGCACAGACAGACCCTCCTTCCCTTCTGCCAGAGTGGGAGCAGCCTGAGGCCATCACGAGAAATAGATGCTGGTGCCATGCTTCCAGTACAGCCTGCAGAACGGTGAGGCAAACCAATCTCTTTTCTTTAGAAGTTACCGAGGCTCAAGTGTTCCTTTAGAGCAACAAAAATGGACTAAGACAGCAACTTCCTGAGATCAGGAGGAACGTCTCAGAACACCCTGGGCTGTCTTCCTGTTCTTCCTGGAGGACGTCATGCAGTGCTTTAGCTGAGTGCTTCCTGTGGCTCCAGGTTACAAAACCCAGGCTGGGCTGCTTTCTGGCTTCCCGCAGCTACACTGCAAATGGGGTGACTCCATATGTCCCGAGGAGCTTTTCTGAGCCTTGAGGGACTGGGTCACATTGAAATATAGGTTTCTGTTGTCACTCGCTGCTTATCTGTTAGTAATGAACCTGCCTATGTAACGTATTCTCTGTGTGTTCTGTCTCCCTGGAGTGACGGTGAGTGATAGGAATTGGCATAGGCCCAGGTGCAGTCCAGGAGGTGTTTAGAGTCTTCTCTGGGAAGGCTGGACTGGGATTGATTCACAGCGAATGTGCTTTAGGGTTTCTACATCCACAGCATTCTTGAGTCAAACAACTTGCATTCTCCAAGGAAAGAAAACAAAAGTGAAATCAAGATAAAAAAAGCGAAATAGAATTCTCTTATGTCAAACGGCCAGGAAATAGTGTTGAAGCCCGTGTGAAACCTGCTGCTCTTTGTGATCTCGGGAGACACATATTAGGCTGCTGTTCTACCTGAGAGGCTGGGGGAAGGACCACCCCCTCGGCCATCTATTGCTTCAAAACCACCTGTCCTCCTGTGAATTAGTAGGAAAGGGGAGCAGGAGCTAGTGCTGTCGCTGATCTCTGATTCCAAGATCTGGACTCACTCCAAGGAGTGTTAATGTTTACCTCCCCATGGTCTATCTGAATCTCCACAGGTGATTGGAAGTAGGGGTGAGGTGGGGGATTTGGGTGAGTGGGCAAGTTTTTTTTGTGATGACCAGAGCACTTTCTCTATTCCAGGATCTGTGCTGGAGGATTCAGCGGACTTTCACATTTTCTATATGATCTCATGCTCACAGAAAGCCAAATAGGGAAGAGGTTTTAGGCTCATTGCCTAATGGATAAGATAAAGGATCAAAGAAGTAATTATAGAGAAATAGAAAAATCATGATTGGAATTCAGGTCCCTTTGTCATTTGCGTGTGTTATATTATATTTATATTTATGCATTTCTTATTTTTATTTTTTGAGACGGAGTCTCCTTGTGCCACCCAGGCTGGAGTGCAGTGATGCAACCTCCACTCACTGCAACCTCCACCTCCTGGGTTGAAGTCATTCTCCTGCTTCATCCTCCAGAGTAGGAGCTGGGATTACAGGGATGCACCACCATGCTCGGCTAATTTTTGTGTTTTTCCTAGAGACAGGGTTTCACCATGTTGGCCAGGCTGGTCTGGAACTGCTGACTTCATGTGATCCACCCGCCTTGGCCTCCTGCAGTGCTGGGTTACAGGCGTGAGCCACCGTTCAGAGACTTGTATATTATGCTATAATAGGTCCCTTCATTTCCACCACCCCTCATATATCTGTCACTCCTTTGCCAGGTATTGATTTATGTGTAGGATGAATAAATCTCAGAAAGAAATTAATTAAGCGAGGATTAAACAAGTAGGAAAATCAAACCCAGCAAGCCTTTCCAGTCAATGATTCTACCTCACAAACCTATCTTATATCCATCTACTTCATTCATTTAGTGTCTAAATCAGCACCACATTTCACCAGTGGGGCGGCAATTGCCTTTTCCACGGTCTCCTAGATTCCAGTTACGCAACTGAGCCTCCCTTATTTTCATGTCAGTCACTATTAATCATGTAGGGATTCCTGGTTACCTCGAGGTGAATCCAATGGCTGTGAGTGTCAAACACACGCTCCTTGTTGCTCCTTAGTTTCCTGTGTACCCAGTGTGCTCTCCGTCTCTCCACAGTCGTCTTGTCATTCTCCCCACATCATTCCCAGCATTTGAGGCAGAGCCTCTTCCTTCCACATCAGATTGTTTTCACCTTTGTGCCTTCACGGCTGACAGCTGTGTGTGCAAAATCCTTCCGCCAATCTTTCAGGGGTTCAATCCGTGTTTTTCATTAATGTCACAAATATCTGAATAGTGAGACCTTCTTTGTCACCTGAAATCATACACTCAGCATTATCTATTATTGATTTTGAATTCTGGCTGGGCACAGTGGCTCACGCCTGTAGTCTCATTACTTTGGCATGCTGAGACGGTCGGATCACTTGAGGTTGGGAGTTTCAGACAAGCTTGGCCAACGTGGTGAAACATCCTCTCTACAAAAAATATACAAAAAGAATTAGCCGGGCACGGTGGCAGTTGCCTGTAATCCCAGCTACTCGAGAGGCGGAGGCAGGAGAATCACTTGAATCCAGGAGACGCAGGTTGCAGTGAGCCAAGATGGTGACACTGCACTGTAGCCTGGAAGACAGAGGGCGACTCTGTCTCAATAAACAAAAGAACAAACAAAAAATAGATTTCACGCACAGATGCTTCCCAATGGATCATTCATTTATAGATCCACTTGTGCATTCATTTTCTGCCCTCCCATTTAACCATCTGCAATATCAGTGTCCCAAGGGCAGAGGCCAAATGCATCTTGTTCACTGTTTGTGGAAGGCAGGAGAATGCTGTCCCACCCCAAAATGTCCCTGTCCTAGCCTCCATAGCTTGTGAATATGTTATTTTACATGGAAAGGAGGAATGAAGATTGCAGATGGAATTATGGTTACTAATCAGCTGAACTTAAAACAAGGGTATCCTGGATGATTTCCAGGAGATTATGAGGGATTTTCATCTTGGTGAACCCAATAGAATCCCCAAGTTTTCAAAAGATGAGGAAGAAGGGAGAGCAGCATTCAGAGAAAGAAGTGTGGTAAGGAAGAAGGCACTGAGTGATGCCATGTGAGATGTGACCAGTCTTTGTGGGCTTTGAGGAAGGAGGAAGGGGACCAGGAGCCAAGGAACTGGGAGCCTTTAGAAGCTGGGACAAGTGAGAAGCAGATTCGTGCCTGGAATCCTCAGAGGGAAGGCAGCCTTGCTGTCACCTTGATTTTAGCCCAGTAAGATGCACTTCCTACTTTGAGCTACAGCACTGTAAGATAATTAAAAAACCGTTTTGTTTTCACCCACGAATCTTGTGGAAATTTGTTATGGCAACAATAGGAAAAGGTTCCGCACTGCACAGCCTGAGCATGGGGCCGTGGCTGAATGAGTCAGTGAGTCGAAGTGTGCGTGCATGAGCTCTGTTCTCTGTTACGGCAAGGCTCTTGCTCTGCTGAGTCAGCCAGGGTTGCTTCATGACCTACAGGAGCTCATTCCTTGGCAAGTGGAACTTCTCTAAAACACCTCGCCCTCATCAGATGTTCCCTTCCCTTTCCTCTCTCAAGTCTCCAGGAATTTATCCTCCAGTTAGGAATGCAGGCAGAACAAACATTGCATTTTTCCTGAGAAGGATGTCAGATTGGCAATCATTCTTCTAGCTTGTAGGAGGTCTCAGCTCCATAAAATGAGAGATGAAGAGATTTCACTGAGCCCTGTGTTGGGCCCAGATCCCTTTCGCTGTAGGAGTATCTGGAGTTCAGAGATGGTGGAAGACAGGGGTACAATGTCAGAGCTGTGAGATGCTGAGTCAACGCCTGAATCCAAGGTTTCCACCTCCCCAGGTTTCCAAAAGCGGATATAAGAGGGTTCTGTACTCACCGGTTTCGGAGCTTGGTTCAGTGGGTGAAGGCCAACTATTTGAAGGGTTTCCTAGAACATGAGACAGGAGAGAGGTGAGGAAATGAGGGTTTCTGTCCTCCACTCAGTGGAAATCTTTGAGGATGGTTCATGGCCAACACTCTGTTATCTAATATTGGGCCCTGGGAGTCCTGGGATCCTTTTTTCCATAATTTTTTTATGTGACACCCACTGTCTTGAGACTTCAAGGTATAAAGAGAAAACAGGAGCATCACACTACCTGATCTCAAAATATGTTACAGAGCTGTAGTAAGCAAAATAGCATGACACTGGCATAAAGAAAGGCACATAGAACAACGGAGCAGAATGAATAACACAGATATATTCCATGCATTTACATCCAATGGTTTTTTATTTTTTCTTTTGAGATGGAGTCTTGCTCTGTCACTCAGGCTGGAGTGCAAAGGTGCAATCTCGGTTCACTGCAACCTCAGCCTCCTGGGTTCAATCATTCTCTTGCCTCAAACTCCTGAGTAGTGGTATTACAGGTGCTGACCACCATGCTCAGCTAATTTTTATATTTTTAGTGGAGATGATGTTTCATCACGTCGGCCAGACTAATCTTGAACTCCTGGCCTCAGGTGATCCACCCACCTCGGGCTCCCAAAGTGCTGAAATTGCAGGTGTTAGCCACCAAGCCCAGCCCATCCAATGGACTTTGACAAAGATGCCAAGAACTCACAATCAGGAAAGGACAGTCTTTTCAATAAACAGTGCAGGGAAACCTGGACATCTACATGCAGAGGAATGAAACTGCACCTCTACCTGTCACCATACACAAAAATCAAATGAAAATGGATTAAAGATGTGAGTCTAAGGCCTGAACCTATGAAACACGTAGAACAAAATATTGGGGAAATGCTCCAGGACACTTGTCTGAAGAAAGACATTTTGTTTTAAACCTTGAAAACACAAGTAATCGAAGCAAAAATAGACCATTGGGATTACCTCATACTAAGCAACTTCTGCACCGCTAAAAATAAACCAACAAAGTGAAGAGACAACCCACAGATTGGGAGCAAATATGTGCAAACTATGCATCTGAGATGGGATTAATAACTAGAAATATAAGAAGCTCAAACAACTCAATAAAACAAATGATTTAATTGAAAAAGGAGCAAAAGACATGAAATTTCCCCACATACGAAAAACTGCTCAGTATCACTCATCATCAGAGAAACGCAAATTAAATTCAAAGTGAGTTTTCATCTCACCCCATTAAAATGGCTTTTAGGCCGGGTGAGGTGGCTCACGTTTGTCATCCTAGAACTTTGAGAGCCTGAGGTGGGTGAATCTCATAAGGTCGGGAGTTTGAGACCAGTATGACCCACATGGAGAAACGCTGTCTCTACTAAAAATACAAAAATTAGTCGGGCGTGGTGGCGTGTGCCTGTAATTCCAGCTACTCGGGAGGCTGAGGCAGGAGAATCGCTTGAACCTGGGAGGTGGAGGTTGTGGTGAGCCGAGATCGCGCCACTGCACTCCAGCCTGGGTGAGAAGAGCAAAACTCCATCTCAAAATAAAATGAAATAAAATAAAATGGCTTTTAGCTGCAAGACAGGCAAAAGAAATGCTGGCAAGGTGGTAGAGAAAGGAGAACCCTGGTACCCTGTTGGGAGGAGTGTAAATTAGTACAGCCATTACGGAGAAAAGTATGGAAGTCCTTTAAAGAACTAAAAAGAGGTTGGGTGCGGTGGATCATGCCTGTAATCCCGGCACTTTGGGAGACTGAGGCGGGCACCTCAGTTGAGGTCATGAGTTTGAGAGCAGCCCAGCCAACATGGGGAAACCCCATCTATACTAAAAAAACCAAAAAGTAGCCAGGCATGGTGGTGTGCACCTGTAATCCCAGCTACTAGGGAGGCTGAGGCAGGAAAATCATTTGAACCCAGGAGGCGTAGGTTGCAATGAGCCAAGGTCGCACCACTTTGACTCCAGCTTGGGCTAAGGAGGGAAACTCTTTCTCAAAAAAGAAAAAAAGAAAAAAAGAGAACTTTCATAGTATCCAGCAATTTCACTACTGGGTTTATATCCAAAGGAAAGTAAATCAATATATCGAAGTGATATCTGCACTCGTATGATTGGTGCAGCACTGTTCACAGTAGCCAAGATGAGGAGTCAACCTACCTGCCCATCAGTGGGTAAATGGATAGAGAGAATGTAGTACATACGCATAGTGGAGACTACTCATCCATAGAAAGAATAACATCCTGTCATTTGCAGCCACATGGATGGAACTGGAGGTCATTACAAAGATTCCCATTTCTCACCCATATACAGGAGCTAAAAGGTGGATCTCATGAAGGTAGAGAGTAGAATGGTGGCTACTGGAGGACAGGAAGAAAAGGGTGGAGGGTAAAAAAAATGTATATATATATATATGTATATAAATGTATTTATGACCACTAGACTTTACACTTAAAAATGGTAAATGTGGCTGGGCGCGGTGGCCCATGCCTGTAATCCCAGCACTTTGGGAGGCAGATGCGGGTGGATCACTTGGTCAGGAGTTCGAGACCAGCTCGACCAACATGGTGAAACCACCTCCCTACTAAAAATACAAAAAGTAGCCTGGCGTGGTGGTGCGTGCCTGTAGCACCAGCTACTCAGGTGGCTGAGGCAGGAGAATCGCTTGAACCCAGGAGGTGGAGGTTGCAGTGAGCTGAGATTGTGCCACTGCACTCCAGCATAGGGGACACAGCTAGACTCCACCTCAAAAAAAAATGTTAAAAGTGGTAAGCTATATAGGTATATTTATCCTCAATAAATATTTCTTCAAAGAAAAGTAAAGGGTGTAGGGGTTGCTGGTGATGACATCTCTGTGTGGGTGAGAGGCCAGGATGGGCTTCTGGGAAATGGGTAAGGTTGAGGGGCTGAGGGAACCTCTGATCTCCCCAAACTGAGCCCAGTCTCCCTCCTCTGGGTCTCTCCTGACCGCTTTCTCCATCTGCCTGGGTGCCTGGAGCCCTGGCCGTGGGCCTCCATGCAGGCCATGTAGGAGGGTTTGGAGGTGCCCTGTCGGCCATCCTGTGCCCTGATCCCTCCCTCACACCGAGGCTGCGTCTTCTCTCTGCATCTGTCCATGCTTCTCTCCATCATCAGCAGGAAGCCCCTCAGCTAAGGCTCTAGGATCATAGGACATGGGACAGCCATGGGCTTTCCTCACCTGTGACAGAAACAAGCAGTGGGTCACTTGACTTTGACCACTCGTATGGAGAGTCACGGAAAGAGCCGAAGCATCTGTAGGTCCCTCCATGGGTGGCAGGGCCCAGAGGAAAGTTGGCCTGGAATGTTCCGTTGACCTTGGTCCCTGCAGGGAGCCTACGTTCATGGGCCTCCCCTTCCCTGGATAGATGGTACATGTCATAGGAGCTCCGGGAGCTGCAGGACAAGGTCACATTCTCTCCTGCCAGAACCGTGGGGCCCGGCTGGGCTGAGAGAGAAGGTTTCTCATATAGACCTGGAAGGAGAAGAGGCAGTTTCCTCAGGGAGGATCTTCCTTGTCACAGCTCCCTTCACCTGAGCTGAGAACTCACTCCCCTGTTCTATGACCTAATGCTCTCTCTCTCTCTCTCTCACCCTCTACCCCATCGCTCTTCATGTCTATTTCCTCCTTCCACCTTCTCTGTCTCTCTAGGTCTCTGACCTCACTTCCCCACCTCTAGATATGTTTTCTCTTTTTGGATTGTTTTATTCTCTCTGAGTGTCCTTGGATTGGTTGACTTGATGTTACTTTTTTTAATTCTGAGTTTCTCACTTTGTGTCCTGTTCATAACTTTCTGCATATTTCTATCTATTATCTATCGATCTATCTATTTATCTATTCGGTGCCTATCTACAAATTCTCTACCTGTCATCTATATCTATATATCATCTATTTATCCATCAATTGTCTATCTATCCATCAATCATCTATTATCTATATCTATGTATCATCTCTCTCTCTCTATGATTTCTCTATGTCTGCCTCTGTATCTCTATGTATTATCTATCTATCTGTCTTCATCATCATCATCTCTATGTCTCATCTATTAATGAATCAATCAATCATCATCTATGTATCTATAACCTAGTATCTATCATCTACCTATTTATCATCTATCTATATCTATCCATCTATCATCTGTCTTGCTCTGCCTCTCGGTCTCTCTAGTTCTCTTTGGAATCTCTGCAATTCATCCCCACATCTCCATCTTTCAATGTCCTTGTGCCTCTCCCTCAGGAGTCTAATTTTAGTGCTTTTCTCTGCTCCCTTCCATCATTCTCACTTCTCTGCCCTCTTTTCTCTCTCTTTATGTGTCTGTGAGTCTCTCAATCTCCTTCCTCTGGCTCATTCTCTGTGTGTTTATGTCTTTGCTTTTTGGTGTCCCTGATTTCTCTCTGTGCCTCTCACTGATCCTCTCATAAGTGGGCTTATTTGGAATATGAGCCTCAGAATCCAGTCTGGAGACTACAAGTTCACACAGCATACAGGGGTTGGTGTTGTGGGGCCATGATATCCTGGGACGATTACTCTCCATTACATGGAAGGCAGAGGTGTCAGAATAAACATGGCATCTGTAGGTGCCACAAGGCCTGAGGCCACAGGGCCCAACTCAGGTCAGAAATATGGGTGTCCTTGGGTTCTCCTGGTAGAGAACACTTTGTGGAGGTAAAACAGAAATGAAACTTCTAACCTGTGCCAGGTCTCTGAGCAAAGTCAGCATGGAGGGACACCTCTCTCTGGGACATGTCTGTCTGTGTGTCTCCTTTAACTCTTTCTGTCTTTTCAAACTCCCGGTATGGCCCCTGTGTCTGTTCTCTGTTATGACACCTGGTCTCTACTTGTGTCTCCTGTTTCTCTGTCTCTGTTGGCACAGACCTCACCAAGTCAGTCTCTCTCCATAAGAATACCAAGCTCATCTTCCTTACAGCCACCTGGGCCTCCAAGTCCTGGATCATTCACTCTGCATCCCAATGACAATGAGAAGAAAGTCTGGACACTCTCACCTATGATCACGATGTCCAGAGGGTCACTGGGAGCTGACACCTGATAGGGGGAGTGAGTAACAGAACCGTAGCATCTGTAGGTCCCTGCCAGGTCTTGCGTCATGCGACTGATGGAGAAGTTGGCCTTGGAGACCCCATCATGGTGTTCTCCAATGAGGCGCAAAGTGTCGTTAAACATCCCCTCTCTGTGCAGAAGGAAGTGTTCAAACATGACATCTGACCAACATTGCAGGATGACTGTCTCTTCTGATTTCACCAGGCGACCTGGGTGGGCCAGGAGGGAAGGTTTTCTGTGGACTCCTAGGAAGAGAGGTTGTGAGTTTAGAAGGTGTCTCTCTTTATCATCCCATCCATGGCACCTGGATTGAGTCAGGCTTCCCCTTCCTGGTGTCTTATCTCTCTCCTTCCTCTCTGTGTCTTCATGTTCTTTTCTGTGCCCATAACTCCTGGTGCAGGTCCTTCCATCTGTCTCCCTCACTCTTCTCTGTCCCTCTGTCTCTAGTAGCCTCTGATTCCCTTGCCGCTGGGCTCAGCCTCATCTCTTGGGCTGTTGTATCTATTTCGAACTAATGTCTTTCCTGCTGTCTATGTGGGGGTGGAAGAGGAACCAGGATAGGCTGCACATCCAGGCTCTTAGCAGCCTGGTTCAATCTCTTTTGGACGAATTGGAATCCTTGGCAGGAGGTATGAACTGATCAGTAAGGCAGGCACCAGTGGCCACACACCCTGTTCCTGGTAGGGACTGGGAGACACTCTTGCCATGCCAGTGCCAGCTTCCATAGCCTGGCTCCTGGTGCTGGTTGGAGGAGTATCAACCCCTCCCTATGTGGATGGAGCCTGGTGGTGGCATCATCATCCGAGCCTTGCTGATCTCAGTGTAGCCAACCTTCTCCTTGTTTGGTTTCTTTAATTAATTAATTAATTTTGGCGACAGAGTCTCACTCCTTTGCCCAGGCTGGAGTGAAGTGGTGTGGTCTAGGCTTACTGCAACCTCTGTCTCCTGGGTTCAAGTGATTCTCCTGCCCTCAGCCTCCCAAGTCGCTAGGATTACATGCACCTGCCACCATGCCTGGCTATCCTTGTGTTGTTTCTTAACTTGTCCTTGACCTGGGTTCCAGTGTTGGTTTCCTGTTGCTGCTGTAGAAAATTATCAGAAGCATGGCAGCAGGAGAGAGCACACTAACCCCTTCCAATTCTGGAGACAGAAATCGGACCCTGTTTGTCGTGGGTAAAATCAAGGTACCTGCAGGGCTTCGTTCCCTCTGGAGACTCAGGAGAATCAGTTACTTGACTTTTCCAGCCTCTATAGGCCATCTGCATTCATGGCTCCTGGACTTCCTCCACCTTCAAAGCTGATGGAGACTCCCATTATGCTGCTGTAATCCCCACTCCCCTCTTCCTCCTCCTTTCATGTGGACCCCTGTGACTACACTGAGCCCATCAGGACAGTCCAGGCTGTCTCCCCATCTCAAGGTCAACTCATCAACAACCTGAGCTCCATCTTCTCCTTCAGTCCCTTCCCCTATATCATAAATAGTCACAGACTCCAGGGATTAGAATGTAGTCATCACTGGGGACAATTATTCTTTCCACCACAGCACCCATTTCCCTGTATTCAATCCCCCTTTACCCCAAATACAGTCAGGACTTGCATGATGGGACCCGCAAGGACACGCCCACCAGGAGCTCTGGGATTCAGGAGGTGGGACAAGGAGAATCCCAGACAGGAGCCCTCTGACCTGTGACCGTGATCTCCAGGGGGTTGCTGGGTGCCGACCACCCACTGGGGTAGTGTGGTTGTGAACCCCGACATGTATAGGTCCCTGCGTGTGCTGGGGTCACAGGGCCCATGAAAAGGCTGTTCCAGAATATTATGTTGTAGAGCTCAGGGACAGGCACCCCATCTTCCTTTTACAGACTGAAGTTGTTAAACCCAAGATAAGAATGACACTGAAGAATCACATGTCCTGGAGGCACCACAGGGCTTGGCCAGGCAGACAGCAAGGGCTTGTCCTGACCACCTTGGGGAGAAGGAGGCACCGCCTTAGAGAGGAGGATGTGGAGCCACCCCTCCCTCCCTGTGCTCTGAAGATTCTCCTCGCTTTCCAAGTTTCTATGGCTGCTATCACACCTTGGTGCCCAGGGCTAAAGGAAGGACCCATCCCGCAAACACAAGGTGTCTCCCTACAACAAAAGTGTCAGCTGAGAACTTTGAGCAAGTGCTGAGTAAGAGACTCCTACTAGATTTTAATACTGTAAGATTACTCACATAAAACAACACAGGGTAGACATGGGGTGGAGGGCATGTCCTTTGAGAATGGAATATCAGCCGATGCCTGAACGAAAATAAACAACTGAGTCCCCATCAGAGGATTGGAATGTCAGGGCCATGGCTGTGGTTTTCCCACCTCTTCTGGTAGAATGACAGCAGCCACACTGCAGCCCCTACCGTCATGGAAACACTGAAGTGTGTGAGTAACACCTTTGTCCTCAGAGGATCTGCTGTTCCTACCACTTCCCCACCACACACCCCAGCTTTGAGCACCGTAGTCTAACCCTGGTCCCCACAGAACTTGACTCTGCCAAGGGAATGAAAGGCCAGGGAGGCAAGGTCAGAAATGTGGGCCCAGCACCCCAGGGTCCCTTCTTCCTAGTTTATGAGAGACTCCCTGACAGGACTTCCCTCCCATTTCAGGAAAATCCTCTTATGTGGGGAGATGACACCCGAAGGTTTGGAGAAGGACTCACCCTCATGTGGCCAGGCCCCCTGCAGCAAGAAGAACCCTGGAAAGAAAGATCATGATGGATGACCCATCTGCAGGCAAACCAGGGCACCCTTGCTGCCCCCACTGGGCTGTGAGTCTTGGTAGCCAGGCCCTTCCTGGGCTGAAGGTAAACTCACCCTCAGTGCCTACCTGCACCCAAGAACAGGGCTGTCGGCTGTGCAGAGACCCAGCCTCCAGGTCCATATCCCCACCTCAAGCCCATATCTCCACTCCAGGCCCATATCTCCACTCCAGGCCGATATTTCCACCCTAAGCCCATATCGCCAATCCAGGCCCATATCTCCAATCCAGGCTCAGATCTCCACCCTGGGCCCATATCTCCAATCCAGGCCCTTATCTCCACTCCAGGTCCATATCTCCTCTCCAGTCCCATATCTCCACTCCAGGCCCATATATCCTCTCCAGTCCCATATCTCCACACCCAGGCCCGTATCTCCATCCTAGGCACATATCTCCTCTCCAGGCCCAGATATCGACCTCTAGGCCCATATCTCCACTCCTGGCCCATATCTCCACTCCAGGCCCAGATATCGACCTCTAGGCCCATATCTCCACTCCTGGCCCATATCTCCACTCCAGGCCCATGTCTCCACTTCAGGCCCATATCTCTACTGCAGGCCCGTAACTCCACCTCCAGGCCCATGACTCCACTCCAGGCCCATATCTCCACCTCCAGGCCCATATCTCCCCTCCAGGTTCCTATCTCCCCTCCAGGTTCCTATCTCCACTCCAGGCCCAGATCTCCACTACAGTCCCATCACTCCACCTCCAGGCCTATATCTCGACCTCTGGGCCCAGATCTCCACTTCTAGGCCCATCACTCCATCTCTAGGCCCATATATCCACTCCAGGCCCAGATCTCCACTCCAGGCCCATAACTCCACCTCCAGGCCTATATCTCCACCTCTGGGCCCAGATCTCCATCCCCTCACTCCCTCCCTCTATTGCTTTCCAGGACTCACCAACACACGCCATGCTGACGACCAAGAGCGACATGGTGCTGCCGGAGCAGACAGGCAGCCGCGACCGAGCTCAGCTCAGCAGCGCACAGGATGTTATTTGGCGCCCTGCCCATGCAGTTTACATGTTGACCACATCATGGGAGGGTGACGTACGCAGGCTCTTTCTACCTTGCATGAGGCCCAGTGGGTGCTCGCTCAAGAGCGGAACACGGCTTCCTGGAAATTGTTCTCGCTAGAATTTGACACCTAGTGTCCTTCACTATGACCAACTCAAAACACGTCTGAGATCCAACCTCCCGAACACGAGATGCCTAAAATCTGTGCTAACATGAAAGACTTTTCATGTATTTCTATTGTTTTTATCTGAGATTCAAACTCTTCTTCCTGTGTAATATGCAAAATATCTAATAGGTATTATTAATGTTTTCAGAGTCATTGTGACTAACAAACCATTAGAATTTTTCATGCTTGTATTTCTAGTATTACAGCAGAACCAGTTAAAATGATTTAAATTCCCAGGGAAGGATTATGCAATTATTTACAATCTTAGAATTGTACTTTATCAGTAAAAACCCCACCTGTAAATTCTGGAGTTTTGTAGTTTAATCTAAAATTTGTCTCATGACCCAAGATTCCAGAGTCCCAACTCTGGAGTTTGTTTTCCGTCTGTCTCTCTCCCTCCCTCATTTTAAATTTTACAGAAATATCCAGTAACATAATGCTATAGAAAATCAAGTTTCCCCAGCACGTTGGGAAGCCGAGGTGGGCGGATCAACTGAGATAAGGAGTTTGAGAGCAGCCTGGCCAATATAGTGAAACCGTGTCTCTGCTAAAAATCCAAAAATTAGCCGTGCCTGGTGGCAGGCACCTGTAACGCCAGCTACTCAAGAGGCTGAGGCACGAGAATCGCTTGAACCTGGGAGGCAGAAGTTGCAGTGAGCTGAGATTGTGTCACTGCAGTCCAGCCTGGGCGACAGAGCAAGACTCCGCCTCAAGAAAAAAAAGCAAATAGCCTATAATAACAAATTAGAGAGCTCTGGCTACTAAATTTAAAGGGTTCTATAAGGCTACATAAAGTGCAGCATCATCAAGAGTGTGGACACAGAGAGCCCCTTAGCAGAAACAGTGTCTAAAGTACATCCGTGTACACACAGTCCCTTTAGAGTTGACAAAGGCTGCCGTGTGGTTTAAGGTGGCATAGAATGTCTTCTCAATAAATAATATTAAACCAATGGGTTATACCTAGGAAAAAATAAATCTAACTCACACTATAAAAACACTTCTTAGTTTTTATCTAGTTGTACATTTTTTATGATTTATATTTAAATTTGAGAAATAAAAGTCATATACGGTCATCCTTCACTATTCCTGGGTGATTGGTTTCGAGATCTCCACTCAGATACCAAAATCTGTAGATGCTCAAGCCTCTTATATGAAATGGCACAGAGTTTGCAAATAACCTATGCACATCCTCCTGTATAGATGAAATCATCTCTAGATTACTTATAATTCCTGATGCAGCCTACACACAGCTTCATTTGTGTCCATTCAACACAGTTCTGCTTTTTGTAACTCTGTGGATACTTTCTCTGAATATTTTTGATTTATACTCGGTTCAATAAAGAACTGTAAACCCCACAGATATGGAGGAGTGACTGTATATTTATAGTGTGAAAGATGATGTGTTGATATGTGTCCCTGTGTAGATGAGACTAACAAGGCCTATGACTCTACAAATGTTTCATCTTGGAATGACTCTGCCAGATTTCCAGGTCTGCAGAGAGTAAGAATATCACTTGTTCATGTGATTCACGATCCTTGGAACCTCCTATGTGCTACATCTTTGGATGGAAATAGGAGTCCCAGAGACAAATGAGGCTCCACCCTGCTTCCAGAAACTCAGAGTCCGGGGGTGAGAACCCAGTGGAGAACAGATGGGGTTATGTGGACATGGTAATGATAACACTGGAAGTCTTAGGCAAGAAAAGAGTCCCATTACCGAAACCATGAGGGCAGACATGTTTATTTGAAGGAGGGAAAACTACATTGAAATTATTTTAAAAAATATATAAGTTTTACTGCTGACAGAAGGCTGAAAGATACTCTGAGGGGAGGTGGAACAGCATGAGGGAAGGTGGAACAGGACGTGTCTAAGTGCCGTGTTAAGAGGGAGCCTCTTGTATGTTTGGAACTGTGAGTTCCTCAGTGTGATTGCAGCCTCAAGTAGACTAGGAAGTAAGCCAGTAAGGTTGGAGAGGTGGGCAGGGGTCAAGTGAAATGGAGAATTGTGGGCTAAGCAAAGGAGTGTGTTTTCTCTCCAGCAGGCAGTGGGGACCTTAGACATTTGTAAGCAAGAGAGAGGCACATTCAGATTTGTGGTGTGAGGAAGAGCGATGCCCTAAGATGCAGACTCACGCCTTCAGATTCCAGCTGCTGGTACATGGGAGCTGGCAACCCGGTTTTGAGACAGGGCTATTGTCTCCCTAGAAGATCCCCTCAAGGCCTGACTGTGGTGCTCATGGGCAGGAGACAACGTTGGATCTGGACTCAGCATTTGGAAGTTCCGTGTACACTCTGGTATCTGTTGGGGGTGTCTTGGGCCTCTGAGAAGGGCGAGTGATTTTTCTCTGTGTGAAAACGCAGTGATCCAACTGTACGTATGTCACCTCCTGAGGGTCTTGTTCATCAGAGTCCTGGAGAGAGGGAAATCCTGAGTGAGGGAGGGTGCTCACATTTTCCAGGACTGTTTGGGAATAACACTAGCCACGAGGCTGGGCCGAGGAGCACCTACCTCGCTATTCGCTGTTCTGTTCCCTGCAGGCTCTTGGTCCATTACAGCAGCATGTGTAGGAGACGGAAGTCAACAAAAGAGCTCGGAGGGCACTTCTGGGTCCTCATTTCATAAGCAGATACCAACAAACAGGGGGAGGCCATAGGAGCCTGAGGTCCCTCAGTTGCCAACAGCAGACTCAGACATTCTATCTCTCTGAGCTCAAGGACCCATCCCATGAATAGCTCTGAGTTCCCATCCCATTGATTCTGTCTCCCACTTTCTGCCTGTCATGGAACCTTCTCCTGGATGTGAGTGGCTGCAGGGGACATGAGGATACAGTTCAGAATCAGGCAACGGTCTGTGAGCTGAAGGCAGGGACAGGGAGTCTGGTGCCCTCTCTAGAAAGTCCTGCCTCTGTGGCTGCTGCCTTGGGCCAGGGACCATCCTACCTGTGAGGAACACACACCTGAGTGCTCCCATCCTGCTTCCCCACATGGCCCGGAGCTCTCTGGCCTCTCCTTCGTAAGACTTACTTTTCTTGTTGGAGCACCAGCGATGAAGGAGAAAGAAGAGGAGGAGGATGAAGAGGATGATGACCACTGAGGTCCCAATCAGAACGTGCAGGTGTCTTGGGTTACCTGGAAGAAGATGAGACACCAATAAGAAGCTAATCATAGCAGTTCCTTTTTATGAATTGTCTCGCATTTCTTGATTGACAGGTAACCACGTAAAACACCTCTTTAGGACAAGCACCCAGATGGCGGGAGACCCAGCTTTCTCCTGCTTTCTCAGTTATAGCTCTCAAAGTAACCATAGAATGTGCTGAGGATACAACTACTTTAGTTGAGATGTTTGACCCCTTCAAACCTCACATTGAAATTTCACCCCCATTGTGGGAGGTTGGGCCTCTTGAGAGGTGTTTGGGTCATGGAGGTGGATCCATCATGAACAGATCAATGCTGTCCCAAGGAGACGGGGTTAGCAAGTTCCCCCTCTATTAGTTCCTGGAGAGCTGGTTGTTCAAAAGAACTTGGAAGCTCCATCACTCCCCCTCCCCCTTGCTACCTCTCTTGCCGTGTGATCTCTGTGGTCTCTGCACAGACAGACCCTCCTTCCCTTCTGCCAGAGTGGGAGCAGCCTGAGGCCATCACGAGAAATAGATGCTGGTGCCATGCTTCCAGTACAGCCTGCAGAACGGTGAGACAAACCAATCTCTTTTCTTTAGAAGTTGCCCAGGCTCAAGTGTTCCTTTAGAGCAACAAAAATGGACTAAGACAGCAACGTCCTGAGATCAGGAGGAACGTCCCAGAGCAGCCTGGGCTGTCTTCCTGTTCTTCCTGGAGGAGGACGTCATGCAGTGCTTTAGCTGAGTGCTTCCTGTGGCTCCAGGGTACAAAACCCAGGCTGGGCTGCTTTCTGGCTTCCCCCAGCTACACTGCAAATGGGGTGACTCCATATGTCCCGAGTAGCTTTTCTGAGCCTTGAGGGACTGGCTCACATTGAAATGTAGGCTTCTGTTTTCACTCGCTGCTTATCTGTTAGTAATGAACCTGCCTATGTAACGTATTCTCTGTGTGTTCTGTCTCCCTGGAGTGACGGTGAGTGATAGGAATTGGCGTAGGCCCAGGTGCAGTCTAGGAGGTGTTTAGGGTCTTTTCTGGGAAGACTGCACTGGGATTGACACACAGCGAATGTGCTTTAGGATTTCTACATCCACAGCATTCTTGAGTCAAACAACTTGCGTTCTCCAAGGAAAGGAAACAAAAGTGAAATCAAGATAAAAAAGCGAAATAGAGTTATCTTATGTCCAACAGCCAGGAAATCGTGTTGAAGCCCCTGTGAAACGTCCTACTCTTTGTGATCTCGGGAGACACATGTTAGGCTGCTGTTCTACCTGAGAGGCTGGGGGAAGGACCACCCCCTCCACCATCTATTGCTTCAATACCACCTGTCCCCCTGTGAATTAGTAGGAAAGGGGAGCAGGAGCTAGTGCTGGTGCTGATCTCTCATTCCAAGATCTGGACTCACTCCAAGGAGTATTAATGTTTACCTCCCCATGGTCTATCTGAATCTCCACAGGTGATTGGAAGTAGGGGTGAAGTGGGGGATTTGAGTGAGACGGCAAGTTTTTTTTGTGATGAACAGAGCACTTTCTCTATTCCACGATCTGTGCTGGAGGATTCAGCGGGCTTTCACATTTTCTATATGGTCTCATGCTCACAGAAAGCCAAATACGGAAGAGGTTTTAGGCTCATTGCCTAATGGATAAGACAAAGGATCAAAGAAGTAATTATAGAGAAATAGAAAAATGATGATTGGAATTCAGGTGCCTTTGTCATTCGTGTGTGTTTTATTATATTTATGCATTTCTTATTTTTATTTTTTGAGACGGAGTCTCCTTGTGTCACCCAGGCTGGAGTGCAGTGATGCAATCTCCACTCACTGCAACCTCCACCTCCTGGGTTGAAGTCATTCTCCTGCTTCATCCTCAAGAGTAGGAGCTGGGATTACAGGGATGCACCACCATGCTCGACTAATTTTTGTATTGTTCATAGAGACAGGGTTTCACCATTTTGGCCAGGCTGGTCTGGAACTCCTGACTTCAAGTGATCCACCCGCCTTGGCCTCCTGCAGTGCTGGGAATTGCCTTTTCCACGGCCTGAGCATGGGGCCGTGGCTGAATGAGTCAGTGAGTCGAAGTGTGCGTGCATGAGCTCCGTTCTCTGTTAAGGCAAAGCTCTTGCTCTGCTGAGTCAGCCAGGGTTGCTTCATGACCAACAGTAATTCATTCCTGGGCAAGTGGAACTTCTCTAAAACACCTCGCCCTCATCAAATGTTCCCTACCCTTCCCTCTCTCAAGCCCCCAGGAATTTATCCTCCAGTTAGGAATGCAGGCAGAACAAACATTGCATTTTTCCTGAGAAGGATGTCAGATTGCCAATCATTTTTCTAGCTTGTAGGAGATCTCAGCTCCATAAAATGAGAGATTAAGAGATTTCACTCAGCCCTGTTTTGGGTCCAGATCCCTTTCGCTGTTGGAGTATCTGGAGTTCGGAGATGGTAGAAGACAGGCGTACAATGTCAGAGCTGTGAGATGCTGAGTCAACGCCTGAATCCAAGGTTTCCACCTCCCCAGGTTTCCAAAAGCGGATATAAGAGGGTTCTGTACTCACCGGTTTCGGAGCTTGGTTCAGTGGGTGAAGGCCAACTATTTGAAGGGTTTCCTAGAACACGAGACAGGAGAGAGGTGAGGAAATGAGGGTGTCTGTCCTCTACTCAGTGGAAATCTTTGAGGTTGGTTCATGGCCAACACTCTGTTATCTAATATTGGGCCCTGGGAGTCCTGGGATCCTTTTTTCCGTAATTTTTGTATGTGACGGCTACTGTCTTGAGACTTCAAGGTATAAAGAGAAAACAGGAGCATCACACTACCTGATCTCAAAATATGTTACAGAGCTGTAGTAAGCAAGACAGCATGACATTGGCATGAAGAAAGGCACATAGAACAACGGAGCAGAATGAATAACACAGATATAATCCATGCATTTACCTCCAATGTATTTTTTGTTTTTCTTTTGAGATGGAGTCTTGCTCTGTCACCCAGGCTGGAGTGCAGAGGTGCAATCTCGGTTCACTGCCACCACAGCCTCCTGGGTTCAATCACTTCTCTGGCCTCAAACTCCTGAGTAGTGGTATTACAGGTGCTGACCACCATGCTCAGCTAATTTTTATATTTTTAGTGGAGACGATGTTTCATCACGTCGGCCAGAGTAATCTTGTACTCCTGTCCTCAGGTGATCCACCAGCCTTGGCCTCCCAAAGTGCTGAAGTTGCTGGTGTTAGCCACCATGCCCAGCCCATCCAATGGACTTTGACAAAGGTGCCAAGAACTCACAATCAGGAAAGGACAGTCTTTTCAATAAACAGTGCAGGGAAACCTGGACATCTACATGCAGAGGAATGAAACTGCACCTCTGCCTGTCACTATACACAAAAATCAAATGAAAATGGATTAAAGATGTGAGTCTAAGGCCTGAACCTATGAAACACGTAGAAGAAAATATTGGGGAAATGCTCCAGGACGTTTGTCTGAAGGAAGACATTTTGTTTTAAACCTTGAAAACACAAGTAATCGAAGCAAAAATAGACCATTGGGATTACCTCAAACTAAGCAACTTCTGCACTGCTAAAAATAAACCAACAAAGTGAAGAGACAACCCACAGATTGGGAGCAAATATGTGCAAACTATGCATCTGAGATGGGATTAATAACTAGAAATATAAGAAGCTCAAACAACTCAATAAAACAAATGATTTAATTGAAACAGGAGCAAAAGACATGAAATTTCCCCACATACTAAAAAGTGCTCAGTATCACTCATCATCAGAGAAACGCAAATTAAAATCAAAGTGAGTTTTCATCTCACCCCATTAAAATGGCTTTTAGGCCGGGTGAGGTGGCTCACGTCTGTCATCCTAGAACTTTGAGAGCCTGAGGTGGGTGAATCTCATAAGGTCGGGAGTTTGAGACCAGTCTGACCCACATGGAGAAACACTGTCTCTACTAAAAATACAAAAATTAGTAGGGCGTGGTGGCGTGTGCCTGTAATTCCAGCTACTCGGGAGGCTGAGGCAGGAGAATCGCTTGAACCTGGGAGGTGGAGGTTGCGGTGAGCCGAGATCGCACCACTGCACTCAGCCTGGGTGACAAGAGCGAAACTCCATCTCAAAATAAAATGAAATAAAATAAAATGGCTTTTAGCTGCAAGACAGGCAAAAGAAATGCTGGCAAGGTGTTAGAGAAAGGAGAATCCTGGTATCCTGTTGGGAGGAGTGTAAATTAGTACAGCCATTACGGAGAAAAGTGTGGAAGTCCTTTAAAGAACTAAAAAGAGATTGGGTGAGGTGGATCAGGCCTGTAATCCCGGCACTTTGGGAGACCGAGGCGGGCACCTCAGTTGAGGTCATGAGTTTGAGAGCAGCCCAGCCAACATGGGGAAACCGCATCTATACTAAAAAAAACAAAAAGTAGCCAGGCATGGTGGCGTGCGCCTATAATCCCTGATACTAGGGAGGCTGAGGCAGGAAAATCATTTGAACCCAGGAGGCAGAGGTTGCAATGAGCCAAGATCATATCACTTGTACTCCAGCCTGGCACAGAGGGAAACTGTCTCAAAAACAAAAACAAAACAACAAACGAAAAACTAAAAAGAGAACTTTCATAGTATCCAGCAATTTCACTACTGGGTTTATATCCAAAGGAAAGTAAATCAATATATCGAAGTGATATCTGCACTCGTATGATTGGTGCAGCACCCTTCACAGTAGCCAAGATGTGGAGTCAACCTACCTGCCCATCAGTGGGTGAATGGATAGAGAGAATGTGGTACATTTGCATAGTGGAGACTACTCTTCCATAGAAAGAATAACATCCTGATATTTGCAGCCACATGGATGGAACTGGAGGTCATTACAAAGATTCCCATTTCTTACCCATATACAGGAGCTAAAAGGTGGATCTCATGAAGGTAGAGAGTAGAATGGTGGCTACCAGAGGCCAGGAAGAAAAGGGTGGAGGGTGAAAAAAAAATATGTGTATATATATATATATTAATGTATTTATGACCACTAGACTTTACACTTAAAAATGGTAAATGTGGCTGGGCGTGGTGGCTCATGCCTGTAATCCCAGCACTTTGGGAGGCTGATGCGGGTGGATCACGTGGTCAGGAGTTCGAGACCAGCTTGACCAACATGGTGAAACCCCCTCTCTACTAAAAATACAAAAAGTAGCCTGGCATGGTGGTGCGCGCCTGTAGCACCAGCTACTCAGGTGGCTGAGGCAAGAGAATCGCTTGAACCCAGGAGGCGGAAGTTGCAGTGAGCTGAGATTGTGCCAATGCACTCCAGCATAGGGGACAGAGCTAGACTCCGCCTCAAAAAAAAAAATGTTAAAGGTGGTAAGCTATATAGTTATATTTATCCTCAATAAATATTTCTCAAACAAAAGTAAACGGTGTAGGGGTTGCAGGTGATGACATCCCTGTGTGGGTGGGAGGCCAGGATGGGCTTCTGGGAAATGGGTAATGTTGAGGGGCTGAGGGAACCTCTGATCTTCCCAAACTGAGCCCAGTCTCCCTCCTCTGGGTCTCTCCTGACCGCTTTCTCCATCTGCCTGGGTGCCTGGAGTCCTGGCCGCAGGCCTTCATGCAGGCCATGTAGGAGGGTTTGGAGGTGCCCTGTCTGCCATCCTGTGCCCTGATCCCTCCCTCACACCCAAGCTTCGTCTTCTCTCTGCATCTGTTCATCCTTCTCTCCATCCTCAGCAGGAAGCTCCTCAGCTAAGGCTCTAGGATCATAGGACATGGGACAGCCATGGGCTTTCCTCACCTGTGACAGAAACAAGCAGTGGGTCACTCGAGTTTGACCACTCGTAGGGAGAGTCACGGAAAGAGCCGAAGCATCTGTAGGTTCCTCCGTGGGTGGCAGGGCCCAGAGGAAAGTCAGCCTGGAATGTTCCGTTGACCTTGGGCCCTGCAGAGAACCTACGTTCATGGGCCTCCCCCTCCCTGGATAGATGGTACATGTCATAGGAGCTCCGGGAGCTGCAGGACAAGGTCACGCTCTCTCCTGCCAGAACCGTGGGGCCCGGCTGGGCTGAGAGAGAAGGTTTCTCATATAGACCTGGAAGGAGAAGAGGCATTTTCCTTACGGAGGCTCTTCCTTGTCACAGCTCCCTTCACCTGAGCTGAGAACTCACTCCCCTGCTCTATGACCTAATGCTCTCTCTCTCTCTCTCTCACCCTCCACCCCATCTCTCTTCATGTCTATTTCCTCCTTCCACCTTCTCTGTCTCTCTAGGTCTCTGACCTCGCTTCCACACCTCTAGATATGTTTTCCCTTTTTGGATTGTTTTATTCTCTCTGACTCTCCTTGGATTGGTTCACTTGATGTTACTTTTTTAAATTCTAAGTTTCTCACTTTGTGTCCTGTTCATAACTTTCTGCATATTTCTATCTATTATCTGTCGATCTATCTATTTATCTATTCGGTGCCTATCTACAAATTCTCTACCTGTCATCTATATCTATATATCATCTATGTATCTATCACTTGTCTATCTATCCATCAATCATCTGTTATCTATATCTATGTATCATCTCTCTCTCTATGACTTCTGTCTGCCTCTCTATCTCTATGTATTATCTATCTGTCTTCATCATCATCATCTCTATGTCTCATCTATTAATGAATCAATCAATCATCATCTATGTATCTTTAACCTATTATCTATCATCTACCTATTTATCATCTATCTATATCTAACCATCTATCATCTGTCTTGCTCTGCCTCTCGGTCTCTCTAGTTCTCTTTGGAATCTCTGCAATTCATCCCCACATCTCCATCTTTCTATGTCCTTGTGCCTCTCCCTCAGGACTCTAATTTTAGTGCTTTTCTCTGCTCCCTTCCATCATTCTCACCACTCCTCTGCCCTCTTTTCTCTCTCTTTATGTGTCTGTGAGTCTCTCAATCTCCTTCCTCTGGCTCATTCTCTGTGTGTTTATGTCTTTGCTTTTTGGTGTCCCTGATTTCTCTCTGTGCCTCTCAGTGATCCTTTCATATGTGGGGTTATTTGGAATGTGAGCCTCAGAATCCAGTCTGGAGACCACAAGTTCACACAGCATACAGGGGTTGGTGTTCTGGGGCCATGATATCCTGGGACGGTTACTCTCCATTACATGGAAGGCAGAGGTGTGAGAATAAACACGGCATCTGTAGGTGCCACAAGGCCTGAGGCCACAGGGCCCAACTCAGGTCAGAAATATGGGTGTCCTTGGGTTCTCCTGGTAGAGAACACTTTGTGGAGGTAAAACAGAAATGAAACTTCTAACCTGTGCCAGGTCTCTGAGCAAAGTCAGCATGGAGGGACACCTCTCTCTGGGACATGTCTGTCTGTCTGTCTCCTTTAACTCCTTCTGTCTTTTCTAACTCCCGGTATGGCCCCTGTGTCTGTCCTCTGTTATGACACCTGGTCTGTACTTGTGTCTCCTGTTTCTCTGTCTCTGTTGGTACAGACCTCACCAAGTCAGTCTCTCTCCATAAGAATACCAAGCTCATCTTCCTTACAACTACCTGGGGGTTCCAAGTCGTGGATCATTCACTCTGCATCCCAATGACAATGAGAAGAATGTCCGGACACTCTCACCTGTGATGACGATGTCCAGAGGGTCACTGGGAGCTGACAACTGATGGGGGAGTGAGTAACAGAACCGTAGCATCTGTAGGTCCCTGCCAGGTCTTCCATCATGGGACCGATGGAGAAGTTGGCCTTGGAGACCCCATCATGGTGCTCTCCAGTGAGGTGCAAAGTGTCGTTAAATGTCCCCTCTCTGTGCAGAAGGAAGTGCTCAAACCTGACATCTGACCAACATTGCAGGATGACTGTCTCTTCTGATTTCACCAGGGGACCTGGGTGGGCCAGGAGGGAAGGTTTTCTGTGGACTCCTAGGAAGAGAGGTTGTGAGTTTAGAAGGTGTCTCTCTTTATCATCCCATCCATGGCACCTAGAATGAGTGAGGCTTCCCCTTGCTGGTGTCTGTCTCTCTCCTTCCTCTCTGTGTCTTCATGTTCTTTTCTGTGCCCATAACTCCTGGTGCAGGTCCTTCCATCTGTCTCCCTCCCTCTTCTCTGTCTCTCTGTCTCTAGTCGCCTCTGATTCCCTTCCCACTGGGCTTAGCCTCATCTCTTGGGGTGTTGTATCTATTTCACACTAATGTCTTTCCTGCTGTTTATGTGGGGGTGAAAGAGGAACCAGGATAGGCTGCACATCCAGCCTCTTATCAGCCTGGTTCAATCTCTTTTGGATGAATTGGAATCCTTGGCAGGAGGTATGAACTGATGAATAAGGCAGGCAGCAGTGTCCACACACCCTGTTCCTGGTCGGGACTGGGAGCCACTCTTGCCATGCCTGTGCCTTCTCCATGGTGCCAGCTTCCATAGGCTGGCTCCTGGTGCTGGTTTGAGGAGTATCAACCCCTCCCTATGTGGATGGAGCCTGGTGGTGGCATCATCATCCCACACTTGCTGATCTCGGTGTAGCCAACCTTCCCCTTGTTTGGTTCCTTTAATTAATTAATTAATTATGGAGATCAGAGTCTCACTCCTTCACCCCAGCTGGAGTGAAGTGGTGTGGTCTAGGGTCACTGCAACTTCTGTCTCCTGGGTTCAAGTGATTCTCCTGCCCTCAGCCTCCCAAGTCGCTAGGATTACATGCGCCTGCCACCACACCCGGCTATCCTTGTGTTGTTTCTTAACTTGTCCTTGACCTGGGTTCCAGTGTTGGTTTCCTGTTGCTGCTGTAGAAAATTATCAGAAGCATGGCAGCAGGAGAGAGCACACTGACCCATTTCACTACTGGAGACAGAAATAGGACCCTGTTTTTCCTGGGCTAAAATCAAGGCATCTGCAGGGCTTCGTTCCCTCTGGAGACTCTGGAGAATCATTTCCTTGACTTTTCCAGCCTCTACAGGCCACCTGCATTCATGGCTCCTGGACTTCCTCCACCTTCAAAGCTGGTGGAGTCTCCCATTGCGCTGCTCTAATCCCCACTCCCCTCTTCCTCCTCCTTTCATGTGGACCCTTGTGATTACACTGAGCCCAGCGGGACAGTCCAGGCTGTCTCCCCATCTCAAGGTCAACTCATCAACAACCTGAGCTCCATCTTCCCCTTCAGTTCCTTCCCCTATAACATAAATAGTCACAGACTCCAGGGATTAGAATGTAGTCATCACTGGGGACAATTATTCTTCCCACCACAGCACCCATTTCCCTGTATTCAATCCCCCTTTACCCCAAATATAGTCAGGGCCTGGGTGATGGGACCCTCAAGGACACGCCCACCAGAAGCTCTGGGATTCAGGAGGTGGGAAAGGAGAATCCAAGACAGGAGCCCTCTGACCTGTGGCCATGATCACCAGGGGGTTGCTGGGTGCCGACCACCCACTGGGGGAGTGTGGGTGTGAACCCCGACATCTGTACGTCCCTGTGTGTGCTGGGGTCACAGGGCCCATGAAAAGGCTCTTCCAGAATATTCTGTTGTAGAGCTCAGTGCCAGGCACCCCATCTTCCTTTTACAGACTGAAGTTGTTAAACCCAAGATAAGAATGACACCGAAGAATCACATGTCCTGGAGGCACCACAGAGCTGGGCCAGGCAGACAGCAAGGGCTTGTCCTGACCACCTTGGGGAGAAGGAGGCACCGCCTTAGAGAGGAGGATGTGGAGCCACCCCTCCCTCCCTGTGCTCTGAAGATTCTCCTCGCTTTCCAAGTTTCTATGGCTGCTATCACACCTTGGTGCCCAGGGCTAAAGGAAGGACCCATCCCGCAAACACAAGGTGTCTCCCTACAACAAAAGTGTCAGCTGAGAACTTTGAGCAAGTGCTGAGTAAGAGACTCCTACTAGATTTTAATACTGTAAGATTACTCACATAAAACAACACAGGGTAGACATGGGGTGGAGGGCATGTCCTTTGAGAATGGAATATCAGCCGATGCCTGAATGAAAATAAGCAACTGAGCCCCCATCAGAGGATTTGGAATGTCAGGGCCATGGCTGTGGTTTCCCACCTCTTCTGGTGGAGTGACAGCAGCCACACTGCAGCCCCTACCGTCATGGAAACGCTGAAGTGTGAGTAACACCTTTGTCCTCAGAGGATCTGCTGTTCCTACCACTTCCCCACCACGCACCCCAGCTTTGAGCACCCCAGTCTAACCCTGGTCCCCACAGAACTTGACTCTGCCAAGGGAATGAAAGGCCAGGGAGGCGAGGTCGGAACTGTGGGCCGAGCACCCCAGGGTCCCCTCTTCCTAGTTTATGAGAGGCTCCCCGACAGGACTTCCCTCCTGTTTCAGGAAAATCCTCTTATGTGGGGAGATGACACCCGAAGGTTTGGAGAAGGACTCACCCTCATGTGGCCAGGCCCCCTGCAGCAAGAAGAACCCTGGAAAGAAAGATCATGATGGACGATCCATCTGCAGGCAAACCAGCCCTCCCTTGCTGCCCTCACTGGGCTGTGAGTCTTGGTAGGCAGGCCCTTCCTGGGCTGAAGTTAAACTCACCCTCAGTGCCTACCTGCACCCAAGAACAGGGCTGTCGGCTGTGCAGAGACCCAGCCTCCAAGCCCAGATCCCCACCACAAGCCCATATCCCCACCACAAGCCCATATCTCCACTCCAGGCCAATATTTCCACCCTAGGCCTGTATCTCCACTCCAGGCCCATATCTCCACTCCAGGCCGATATTTCCATCATAGGCCCATATCGCCAATCCAGGCCCATATCGCCAATCCAGGCCAAGATCTCCACTGTAAGCCCATATCTCCAATCCAGGCCCATATCTCCAATCCAGGCTCAGATCTCCACCCTAGGCCCATATCTCCAATCCAGGCCCATATCTCCACACCAGGCCCATATCTCTACTGAAGGCCAGTAACTCCACCTCCAGGCCCATATCTCCACTCCAGGCCCAGATCTCCACCCCAAGCCCATATCTCCACCCCAGGCCCATATCTCTACTGAAGGCCCGTAACTCCACCTCCAGGCCCATATCTCCACCCCAGGCCCAGATCTCCACCCCAAGCCCATATCTCCACTCTAGGCCCATATCTCCTCTCCAGTCCCATATCTCCACAACCAGGCCCATATCTCCATCCTAGGCCCATATTTCCACTCTAGGCCCAGATATCCACCTCTAGGCCCATATCTCCACTCCTGGCCCATATCTCCACTCCAGGCCCATATCTCTACTATAGGCCTATAACTCCACCTCCAGGCCCATATCTCCACTCCAGGCTCCTATCTCCCCTCCAGGTTCCTATCGGCACTCCAGGCCCAGATCTCCACTTCTAGGCCCATCACTCCATCTCTAGGCCCATATATCCACTCCAGGCCCAGATCTCCACTCCAGGCCCACAACTCCACCTCCAGGCCTATATCTCCACCTCTGGGCCCAGATCTCCAACCCCACACTCCCTTCCTCTATTCCCTTCCAGGACTCACCAACACACGCCATGCTGACGACCGTGAGCGACATGGTGCTGCCGGTGCAGACAGGCGGCCGCGCCCCAGCTCAGCTCAGCAGCGCACAGGATGTTATTTGGCGCCCTGCCCATGCAGTTTACATGTTGACCACATCATGGGAGGGTGACGTACGCAGGCTCTTTCTACCTTGCATGAGGCCCAGTGGTTGCTCGCTCAAGAGCGGAACACGGCTTCCTGGAAATTGTTCTCACTAGAATTTACACCTAGCGTCCTTCACTATGACCAACTCAAAACACGTCTCAGATCCAACCTCCTGAACACGAGATGCCTAAAATCTGTGCTAACGTGAAAGACTTTTCATGTATTTTTATTGTTTTTATCTGAGATTCAAACTCTTCTTCCTGTGTAATATGCAAAATATCTAATAGGTATTATTAAGGTTTTCAGAGTCATTGTGACTAATAAACCATTAGAATTTTTCATGCTTGTATTTCTAGTATTACAGCAGAACCAGTTAAAATGATTTAAATTCCCAGGGAAGGATTATGCAATTATTTACAATCTTTGAATTGTACGTTATCAGCAAAAACCACACATTTAAACTCTGGATTTTTGTAGATTTATCTAAAATTTGTCTCATGACCCAAGTTTCCAGAGTCCCAACTCTGGAGTTTGCTCTCTCTCTGTCTCTCTCCCTCCCTCATTTTAAATTTTACAGAAATATCCAGTAACATAATGCTATAGAAAATCAAGTTTCCCCCAGCACGTCGGGAAGCCGAGGTGGGCGGATCAACTGATATAAGGAGTTTGAGAGCAGCCTGGCAACACAGTGAAACCGTGTCTCTGCTAAAAATCCAAAAATTAGCCGTGCCCAGTGGCAGGAACTTGTAACACCAGCTACCCAAGAGGCTGAGGCACGAGAATCGCTTGAACCTGGGAGGCGGAGGTTGCAGTGAGCTGAGATTGCACCACTGCAGTCCAGCCTGGGCGACAGAGCAAGACTCCGCCTCAAGAAAATAAAAATAGCAAATAGCCTATAATAACAAATTAGAGGCCTCTGGCTACTAAATTTAAAGGGTTCTATGGGGCTACATAAAGTGGAGCATCCTCAAGAATGTGGACACAGAGAGCCGTTTAGCAGAGACAGTGTCTAAAATACACATCCGTGTACACACAGTCCCTTTTTAGTTGACAAAGGCTGCCGTGTGGTTTAAGGTGGCATAGAATGTCTTCTCAATAAATAATATTAAACCAAAGGGTTACACATAGGAAATAATAAATCTAAACTTATTCTCACACTATAAAAACACTTCTTAGTTTTTATCTAGTTATTGTACATTTTTTATGATTTATATTTAAATTTGAGAAATAAAAGTCCTATACCGTCATCCTTCACTATTCATGGGTGATTGGTTTCAGGATCTCCACTCAGATACTAAAATCTGCAGATGCTCAAGCCTCTTACATAAAATGACACAGCATTTGGATATAACCCATGCACATCCTCCTGTATACATGAAATCATCTCTTGATTACTTATAATTCCTGATACAGCCTATACACCACCTCATTTGTGTGCATTCAACACAGTTTTGCTTTTTGGAACTTTGTGGGCTTTTTCTCTGAATATTTTTGATTTATACTTGGTTCAATAAACACCTGTAAACCCCACAGATACGGAGGAGCGACTGTATATTTATAGTATGAAAGATGATGCGTTGACATGTGTCCCCGTGGAGATGAGACTAACAAGGCCTATGACTCTACAAATGTTTCATCATGGAATGACTCTGCCAGCTTTCCAGGTCTGCAGAGAGTAAGAATATCACTTGTTCATGTGATTCACGATCCTTGGAACTTCCTATGTGCTGCATCTTTGGATGGAAATTGGAGTCTCAGAGACAAGTCAGGGTCCACCCTGTTCCAGAAGCTCAGAGTCCAGGGGTGAGAACCCAGTGGAGAACAGATGGGGTTATGTGGACATGGTAATGATAACACCGGAAGCCTTAGGCAAGAAAAGAGTCCCATTACCGAAACCATGAGGGCAGACATGTTTATTTGAAGGAGGGAAAACTACATTGAAATTACTAAAAACAATTTATAAGTTTTACTGCTGACAGAAGGCTGAAAGATAGTCTGAGGGGAGGTGGAACTGCATGAGAGAAGGTGGAACAGCACGTGTCTAAGTGCTGTGTTAAGAGGGAGCCTCTTGTATGTTTGGAATTGTGAGTTCCTCAGTGTGATTGCAGCCTCAAGTAGACTAGGAAGTAAGCCAGTTAGGTTGGAGAGGTGGGCAGGGGTCAAGTGAAATGGAGAATTGTGGGCTAAGCAAAGGAGTGTGTTTTCTCTCCAGCAGGCAGTGGGGACCTTAGACATTTGTAAGCAAGAGAGAGGCATGTTCAGATTCGTGGTGTGAGGAAGAGCGATCCCCTAAGATGAAGACTGATGCCTTCAGATTCCAGCTGCTGGTACATGGGAGCTGGCAACCCGGTTTTGAGACAGGGCTGTTGTCTCCCTAGAAGATCCCCTCAAGGCCTGACTGTGGTGCTCGTGGACAGAAGACAGCTTTGGATCTGGACTCAGCATTTGGAAGTTCTATGTACATGCTGGTATCTGTTGGGGGTGTCTTGGGCCTCTGAGAAGGGGGAGTGATTTTTCTCTGTGTGAAAACACAGTGATCCAATTATGCGTATGACACCTCCTGATGGTCCTGTTCATCAGAATCCTGGAGAGAGGGAAATGCTGAGTGAGGGAGGGTGCTCACATTTTTCAGGACTCTTTGGGAATAAGACTAGCCACGAGGCTGGGCCGAGGAGCACCTACCTCCCTGTTCACTGTTCTGTTCCCCGCAGGCCCTTGGTCCATTACAGATGCATCTGTAGAAGATGGAAGTCAACAAAACAGCTCGGAGGGCACTTCTGGGTCCTCATTTCATAAGCAGATACCAACAAACAGGGGGAGGCCATAGGTGCCTGAGGTCCCTCAGTTGCCAACAGCAGACTCAGACATTCTATCTCTCTGAGCTCAAGGACCCATCCCATGAATAGCTCTGAGTTCCCATCCCATTGATTCTATCTCCCACTTTCTGCCTGTCATGGAACCTTCTCCTGGATGTGAGTGGCTGCAGGGGACGTGAGGGTACAGTTCAGAATCAGGCAATGGTCTGTGAGCTGAAGGCAGGGGAAGGGAATCTGGTGCTCTCTCTAGAAAGTCCTGCCTCTGTGGCTCCTGCCTTGGGCCAGGGACCATCCTGCCTGTGAGGAACACACACCCGCGTGCTACCATCCTGCTTCCCCACATGGCCCTGAGCTCTCTGGCCTCTGCTTCGTGAGACTTACTTTTTTTGTTGGAGCACCAGCGATGAAGGAGAAAGAAGAGGAGGATGGTGAAAGGGAGTTTGACCACTGAGGTCCCAATCAGAACGTGTAGGTGTCTGGGGTTACCTGGAAGAAGAGGAGACACCAATAAGAAGCTAATCATAGCAGTTCCTCTTTATGAATTGTCTCGCATTTCTTGATTGACAGGTAACCACATACAACGTCTCTTTAGGACAAGCACCCAAATGGTGGGAGACCTAGCTTTCCCCTGCTTTCTCAATTATAGCTCTCATAGTAACCATAGAACGTGCTGAGGATACAACTACTTTAGTTGAGATGTCTGACCCCTTCAAACCTCACATGGAAATTTCACCCCCACTGTGGGAGGTTGGGCCTCTTGGGAGGTGTTTGGGTCATGGAGGTGGATCCATCATGAACAGAACAATGCTGTCCCAAGGAGACGGGGTTAGCAAGTTCCCCCTCTATTAGTTCCCGGAGAGCTGGTTGTTCAAAAGAGCTTGGAAGCTCCATCGCTCCCCCTCCCCCTTACTCTCTCTCTTGCCGTGTGATCTCTGCGGTCTCTGCACAGACAGACCCTCCTTCCCTTCTGCCAGAGTGGGAGCAGCCTGAGGCCGTCACAAGAAATAGATTCTGGTGCCATGCTTCCAGTACAGCCTGCAGAACGGTGAGGCAAACCGATCTCTTTTCTTTAGAAGTTACCGAGGCTCAAGTTTTCCTTTAGAGCAACAAAAAAAAACTACGACAGCAACGTCCTGAGATCAGGAGGAATGTCTCAGAACAGCCTGGGCTGTCTTCCTGTTCTTCCTGGAGGAAGGCGTCATGCAGTGCTTTAGCTGAGTGCTTCCTGTGGCTCCAGGGTACAAAACCCAGGCTGGGCTGCTTTCTGGCTTCCCCCAGCTACACTGCAAATGGGGTGACTCCATATGTCCCGAGCAGCTTTTCTGAGCCTTGAGGGACTGGCTCACATTGAAATGTAGGCTTCTGTTGTCACTCGCTGCTTATCTGTTAGTAATGAACCTGCCTGTGTAATGTATTCTCTGTGTGTTCTGTCTTCCTGGAGTGACGGTGAGTGATAGGAATTGGCATAGGCCCAGGTGCAGTCCAGGAGGTGTTTAGAGTCTTCTCTGGGAAGACTGCACTGGGATTGATACACAGCGAATGTGCTTTAGGATTTATACATCCACGGCATTCTTGAGTCAAACAACTTGCATTCTCCAAGAAAAGGAAACAAAAGTGAAATCAAGATAAAAAAAGCGAAGTAGAATTCTCTTATGTCAAATGGCCAGGAAATAGTGTTGAAGCCCATGTGAAACGTGCTACTCTTTGTGATCTCAGGAGACACATGTTAGGCTGCTGTTCTACCCCAGAGGCTGGGGGAAGGACCACACCCTCGGCCATCTATTGCTTCAATACCACCTGTCCTCCTGTGAATTAGTAGGAAAGGGGAGCAGGAGCTAGTGCTGACGCTGATCTCTGATTCCAAGATCTGGACTCACTCCAAGGAGTATTAGAATTTACCTCCCCATGGCCTATCTGAATCTCCACAGATGATTGGAAGTAGGGGTGAGGTGGGGGATTTGGGTGAGAGGGCATGTTTTTTTTGTGATGAACAGAGCACTTTGTGTATTCCAGGATCTGTGCTGGAGGATTCAGCGGGCTTTCACATTTTCTATATGATCTCATGCTCACAGAAAGCCAAATAGGGAAGAGGTTTTAGGCTCATTGCCTAATGGATAAGATAAAGGATCAAAGAAGTAATTATAGAGAAATAGAAAAATCATGATTGGAATTCAGGTCCCTTTGTCATTTGCGTGTGTTATATTATATTTATATTTATGCATTTCTTATTTTTATTTTTTGAGACGGAGTCTCCTTGTGTCACCCAGGCTGGAGTGCAGTGATGCAATCTCCACTCACTGCAAACTCCACCTCCTGGGTTGAAGTCATTCTCCTGCTTCATCCTCCAGAGTAGGAGCTGGCATTACAGGGATGCACCACCATGTTCGGCTAATTTTTGTGTTTTTCCTAGAGACAGGGTTTCACCATGTTGGCCAGGCTGGTCTCGAACTGCTGACTTCGTGTGATCCACCCGCCTTGGCCTCCTGCAGTGCTGGGTTACAGGCGTGAGCCACCGTTCACAGACTTGTATATTATGCTATAATAGGTCCCTTCATTTCCACCACCCCTCATATATCTGTCACTCCTTTGCCAGGTATTGATTTATGTGTAGTAGGAATAAAGCTCAGAAAGAAATTAAGCGAGGATTAGACAACTAGGAAAATCATACCCAGCAAGCCTTTCCAGCCAATGATTCCACCTCACAAGCATATCTTATATCCATCTGCTTCACCCAGTTAGGGTCTAAATCAGCACCACATTTCACCAGTGAGGCGGGAATTGCCTTTTCCACAGTCTCCTAGATTCCAGTTACGCACCTGGGCCTCCCTTATTTTCATGTCAGTCACTATTAATCATGTAGGGATTCCTGGCTACCCCGAGGTGAATCCAATGGCTGTGAGTGTCAAACACACACTCCTTGTTGCTCCTTAGTTTCCTGTGTACCCAGTGTGCTCTCCGTCTCTCCACAGTCGTCTTGTCATTCTCCCCATCTCATTCCCAGCATTTGAGGCAGAGCCTCTTCCTTCCACATCAGATTGTTTTCAGCTTTCTGCCTTCACGGCTGACAGCTGTGTGTGGAAAATCCTTCCGCCAATCTTTCAGGGGTTCAATCCGTGTTTTTCATTAATGTCACAAATATCTGATTAGTGAGATCTTCTCTGTCACCCAAAATCATACACTCAGCATTATGTATTATTTATTTTAAATTCTGGCTGGGCACAGTGGCTCACGCCAGTTATCCCAGTACTTTAGGATGCTGAGACGGTCGGATCACTTGAGGTTGGGAGTTTCAGAGAAGCTTGGCGAAGATGGTGAAACATCCTCTACAAAAAATATACAAAAAGAATTAGCCGGGCATGGTGGCAGTTGCCTGTAATCCCAGCTACTCGAGAGGCTGACGCAGGAGAATCACTTGGATCCAGAAGGTGCAGGTTGCAGTGAGCCAAGATGGTGACACTGCACTGTAGCCTGGAAGACAGAGGGAGACTCTGTCTCAATAAACAAACGAAGAAACAAACAAATAGATTTCATACACAGATGCTTCCCAATGGATCATTCATTTATTGGTCCACTTGTGCATTCATTTTCTGCCCTCCCATTTAACCATCTGCAATATCAGTGTCCCAAGGGCAGAGGCCAAATGCATCTTGTTCACTGTTTGTGGAAGGTAGGAGAATGCTGTCCCACCCCAAAATGTCCCTGTCCTAGCCTCCATAGCTTGTGAATATCTTATTTTACATGGAAAGGAGGAATGAAGATTGCAGATGGAATTATGGTTGCTAATCAGCTGAACTTAAAACAAGGGTATCCTGAATGATTTCCTGGAGATTATGATGGATTTTCATCTTGGTGAACCCAATAGAATCCCCAAGTTTTCAAAAGATGAGGAAGAAGGGAGAGCAGCATTCAGATAAAGAGGTGTGGTAAGGAAGAAGGGTCTGAGTGATGCCACGTGAGATGTGACCAGCCTTTGTGGGCTTTGAGGAAGGAGGAAGGGGACCAGGAGCGAAGGAATGTGGGAGCCTCTAGAAGCTGGGACAAGTGAGAAGCAGATTCTTGCCTGGAACCCTCAGAGGGAAGGCAGCCTTGCTGTCGCCTTGATTTTAGCCCAGTGAGATGCACTTCATACTTTGAGCTAGAGCACTGTAAGATAATTAAAAAACCGTTTTGTTTTCACCCACGAATCTTGTGGAAATTTGTTATGGCAACAATAGGAAAAGCTTCCACACTGCACAGCCTGAGCATGGGGCCGTGGCTGAATGAGTCAGTGAGTCGAAGTGTGCGTGCATGAGCTCTGTTCTCTGTTACGGCAAGGCGCTTTCTCTGCGGAGTCAGCCAGGGTTGCTTCATGACCTACAGGAGCTCATTCCTTGGCAAGTGGAACTTCTCTAAAACACCTCGCCCTCATCAGATGTTCCCTTCCCTTCCCTCTCTCAAGTCTCCAGGAATTTATCCTCCAGTTAGGAATGCAGGCAGAACAAACATTGCATTTTTCCTGAGAAGGATGTCAGATTGGCAATCATTCTTCTAGCTTGTAGGAGGTCTCAGCTCCATAAAATGAGGGATGAAGAGATTTCACTGAGCCCTGTGTTGGGCCCAGATCCCTTTCGCTGTTGGAGTATCTGGAGTTCGGAGATGGTGGAAGACAGGGGTACAATGTCAGAGCTGTGAGATGCTGAGTCAACGCCTGAATCCAAGGTTTCCACCTCCCCAGGTTTCCAAAAGCGGATATAAGAGGGTTCTGTACTCACCGGTTTCGGAGCTTGGTTCAGTGGGTGAAGGCCAACTATTTGAAGAGTTTCCTAGAACACGAGACAGGAGAGAGGTGAGGAAATGAGGGTGTCTGTCCTCTACTCAGTGGAAATCTTTGAGGATGGTTCATGGCCAACACTCTGTTATCTAATATTGGGCCCTGGGAGTCCTGGGATCCTTTTTTCCATAATTTTTTTATGTGACACCCACTGTCTTGAGACTTCAAGGTATAAAGAGAAAACAGGAGCATCACACTACCTGATCTCAAAATATGTTACAGAGCTGTAGTAAGCAAAACAGCATGACATTGGCATAAAGAAAGGCACATAGAACAATGGAGCAGAATGAATAACACAGATATATTCCATGCATTTACATCCAATGGTTTTTATTTTTTCTTTTGAGATGGAGTCTTGCTCTGTCACTCAGGCTGGAGTGCAGAGGTGCAATCTCAGTTCACTGCAACCTCAGCCTCCTGGGTTCAATCATTCTCTTGCCTCAAACTCCTGAGTAGTGGTATTACAGGTGCTGACCACCATGCTCAGCTAATTTTTATATTTTTAGTGGAGACGATGTTTCATCACGTCGTCCAGACTGATCTTGAACTCCTGGCCTCAGGTAATCCACCCGCCTCGGCCTCCCAAAGTGCTGAAATTGCAGGTGTTAGCTACCAAGCCCAGCCCATCCAATGGACTTTGACAAAGGTGCCAAGAACTCACAATCAGGAAAGGACAGTCTTTTCAATAAACAGTGCAGGGAAACCTGGACATCGACATGCAGAGGAATGAAACTGCACCTCTACCTGTCACCATACACAAAAATCAAATGAAAATGGATTAAAGATGTGAGTCTAAGGCCTGAACCTATGAAACACGTAGAACAAAATATTGGGGAAATGCTCCAGGACATTTGTCTGAAGAAAGACATTTTGTTTTAAACCTTGAAAACACAAGTAATCGAAGCAAAAATAGACCATTGGGATTACCTCAAACTAAGCAACTTCTGCACTGCTAAAAATAAACCAACAAAGTGAAGAGACAACCCACAGATTGGGAGCAAATATGTGCAAACTATGCATCTGAGATGGGATTAATAACTAGAAATATAAGAAGCTCAAACAACTCAATAAAACAAATGATTTAATTGAAAAAGGAGCAAAAGACATGAAATTTCCCCACATACGAAAAACTGCTCAGTATCACTCATCATCAGAGAAACGCAAATTAAAATCAAAGTGAGTTTTCATCTCACTCCATTAAAATGGCTTTTAGGCCGGGCGAGGTGGCTCACGTCTGTCATCCTAGAATTTTGAGAGCCTGAGGTGGGTGAATCTCATAAGGTCGGGAGTTTGAGACCAGTATGACCCACATAGAGAAACGCTGTCTCTACTAAAAATACAAAAATTAGTAGGGCGTGGTGGCGTGTGCCTGTAATTCCAGCTACTCGGGAGGCTGAGGCAGGAGAATCGCTTGAACCTGGGAGGTGGAGGTTGCGGTGAGCCGAGATCGCACCACTGCACTCAGCCTGGGTGACAAGAGCGAAACTCCATCTCAAAATAAAATGAAATAAAATAAAATGGCTTTTAGCTGCAAGACAGGCAAAAGAAATGCTGGCAAGGTGGTAGAGAAAGGAGAACCCTGGTACCCTGTTGGGAGGAGTGTAAATTAGTACAGCGATTACGGAGAAAAGTATGGAAGTCCTTTAAAGAACTAAAAAGAGGTTGGGTGTGGTGGATCAGGCCTGTAATCCCGGCACTTTGGGAGACTGAGGCGGGCACCTCAGTTGAGGTCATGAGTTTGAGAGCAGCCCAGCCAACATGGGGAAACCGCATCTATACTAAAAAAACCAAAAAGTAGCCAGGCATGGTGGCGTGCACCTGTAATCCCAGCTACTAGGGAGGCTGAGGCAGGAAAATCATTGGAACCCAGGAGGCGGAGGTTGCAATGAGCCAAGGTCGCACCACTTTGACTCCAGCTTGGGCTAAGGAGGGAAACTCTTTCTCAAAAAAGAAAAAAAAAAAAAAGAGAACTTTCATAGTATCCAGCAATTTCACTACTGGGTTTATATCCAAAGCAAAGTAAATCAATATATCGAAGTGATATCTGCACTCGTATGATTGGTGCAGCACTGTTCACAGTAGCCAAGATGAGGAGTCAACCTACCTGCCCATCAGTGGGTGAATGGATAGAGAGAATGTAGTACATACGCACAGTGGAGACTACTCATCCATAGAAAGAATAACATCCTGTCATTTGCAGCCACATGGATGGAACTGGAGGTCATTACAAAGATTCCCATTTCTTACCCATATACAGGAGCTAAAAGGTGGATCTCATGAAGGTAGAGAGTAGAATGGTGGCTACTGGAGGACAGGAAGAAAAGGGTGGAGGGTAAAAAAAATGTATATATATATATATAAATGTATTTATGACCACTAGACTTTACACTTAAAAATGGTAAATGTGGCTGGGTGCGGTGGCCCATGCCTGTAATCCCAGCACTTTGGGAGGCTGATGCGGGTGGATCATGTGGTCAGGAGTTCGAGACCAGCTCGACCAACATGGTGAAACCACCTCCCTACTAAAAATACAAAAAGTAGCCTGGCATGGTGGTGCGTGCCTGTAGCACCAGCTACTCAGGTGGCTGAGGCAGGAGAATCGCTTGAACCCAGGAGGCGGAGGTTGCAGTGAGCTGAGATTGTGCCACTGCACTCCAGCATAGGGGACAGAGCTAGACTCCACCTCAAAAAAAAATGTTAAAGGTGGTAAGCTATATAGGTATATTTATCCTCAATAAATATTTCTTCAAAGAAAAGTAAAGGGTGTAGGGATTGCTGGTGATGACATCTCTGTGTGGGTGAGAGGCCAGGATGGGCTTCTGGGAAATGGGTAATGTTGAGGGGCTGAGGGAACCTCTGATCTCCCCAAACTGAGCCCAGTCTCCCTCCTCTGGGTCTCTCCTGACCGCTTTCTCCATCTGCCTGGGTGCCTGGAGCCCTGGCCGCGGGCCTCCATGCAGGCCATGTAGGAGGGTTTGGAGGTGCCCTGTCTGCCATCCTGTGCCCTGATCCCTCCCTCACACCGAGGCTGCGTCTTCTCTCTGCATCTGTCCATGCTTCTCTCCATCCTCAGCAGGAAGCTCCTCAGCTAAGGCTCTAGGATCATAGGACATGGGACAGCCATGGGCTTTCCTCACCTGTGACAGAAACAAGCAGTGGGTCACTTGACTTTGACCACTCGTATGGAGAGTCATGGAAAGAGCCGAAGCATCTGTAGGTCCCTCCGTGGGTGGCAGGGTCCAGAGGAAAGTCGGCCTGGAATGTTCCGTTGACCTTGGGCCCTGCAGGGAGCCTACGTTCATGGGCCTCCCCTTCCCTGGATAGATGGTACATGTCATAGGAGCTCCGGGAGCTGCAGAACAAGGTCACGCTCTCTCCTGCCAGAACCGTGGGGCCCGGCTGGGCTGAGAGAGAAGGTTTCTCATATAGACCTGGAAGGAGAAGAGGCATTTTCCTCAGGGAGGATCTTCCTTGTCACAGCTCCCTTCACCTGAGCTGAGAACTCACTCCCCTGCTCTGTGACCTAATGCTCTCTCTCTCTCTCTCTCACCCTCCACCCCATCTCTCTTCACGTCTATTTCCTCCTTCCACCTTCTCTGTCTCTCTAGGTCTCTGACCTCACTTCCCCACCTCTAGATATGTTTTCTCTTTTTGGATTGTTTTATTCTCTCTGACTCTCCTTGGATTGGTTCACTTGATGTTACTTTTTTTAATTCTGAGTTTCTCACTTTGTGTCCTGTTCATAACTTTCTGCATATTTCTATCTATTATCTATCGATCTATCTATTTATCTATTCCGTGCCTATCTACAAATTCTCTACCTGTCATCTATATCTATATATCATCTATTTATCTATCAATTTTCTATCTATCCATCAATCATCTATTATCTATATCTGTGTATCATCTCTCTCTCTCTATGATTTCTCTATGTCTGCCTCTCTATCTCTATGTATTATCTATCTGTCTTCATCATCATCATCTCTATGTCTCATCTATTAATGAATCAATCAATCATCATCTATGTATCTATAACCTATTATCTATCATCTACCTATTTATCATCTATCTATATCTATCCATCTATCATCTGTCTTGCTCTGCCTCTCGGTCTCTCTAGTTCTCTTTGGAATCTCTGCAATTCATCCCCACATCTCCATCTTTCTATGTCCTTGTGCCTCTCCCTCATGACTCTAATTTTAGTGCTTTTCTCTGCTCCCTTCCATCATTCTCACCACTCCTCTGCCCTCTTTTCTCTCTCTTTATGTGTCTGTGAGTCTCTCAATCTCCTTCCTCTGGCTCATTCTCTGTGTGTTTATGTCTTTGCTTTTTGGTGTTCCTGATTTCTCTCTGTGCCTCTCAGTGATCCTCTCATATGTGGGGTTATTTGGAATGTGAGCCTCAGAATCCAGTCTGGAGACTACAAGTTCACACAGCATACAGGGGTTGGTGTTCTGGGGCCATGATATCCTGGGACGATTACTCTCCATTACCTGGAAGGCAGAGGTGTCAGAATAAACATGGCATCTGTAGGTGCCAGAAGGCCTGAGGCCATAGGGCCCAACTCAGGTCAGAAATATGGGTGTCCTTGGGTTCTCCTGGTAGAGAACACTTTGTGGAGGTAAAACAGAAATGAAACTTCTAACATGTGCCAGGTCTCTGAGCAAAGTCAGCATGGAGGGACACCTCTCTCTGGGACATGTCTGTCTGTCTGTCTCCTTTAACTCCTTCTGTCTTTTCTAACTCTCGGAAAGGCCCCTGTGTGTGTCCTCTGTTATGACACCTGGTCTGTACTTGTGTCTCCTGTTTCTCTGTCTCTGTTGGTACAGACCTCACCAAGTCAGTCTCTCTCCATAAGAATACCAAGCTCATCTTCCTTACAACCACCTGGGCCTCCAAGTCCTGGATCATTCACTCTGCATCCCAATGACAATGAGAAGAATGTCTGGACACTCTCACCTGTGATCACGATGTCCAGAGGGTCACTGGGCGCTGACAACTGATAGGGGGAGTGAGTAACAGAACCGTAGCATCTGTAGGTCCCTGCCAGGTCTTGTGTCATGCGACCGATGGAGAAGTTGCCCTTGGAGACCCCATCAATGTGCTCTCCAATGAGGCGCAAAGTGTGGTTAAACGTCCCCTCTCTGTGCAGAAGGAAGTGCTCAAACATGACATCTGACCAACATTGCAGGATGACTGTCTCTTCTGATTTCACCAGGGGACCTGGGTGGGCCAGGAGGGAAGGTTTTCTGCGGAATCCTAGGAAGAGAGTTTGTGAATTTAGAAGGTGTCTCTCTTTATCATCCCATCCATGGCACCTGGATTGAGTGAGGCTTCCCCTCCCTGGTGTCTGTCTCTCTCCTTCCTCTCTGTGTCTTCATGTTCTTTTCTGTGCCCATAACTCCTGGTGCAGGTCCTTCCATCTGTCTCCCTCCCTCTTCTCTGTCCCTCTGTCTCTAGTAACCTCTGATTCCCTTGCCGCTGGGCTCAGCCTCATCTCTTCGGCTGTTGTATCTATTTTGAACTAATGTCTTTCCTGCTGTATATGTGGGGGTGGAAGAGGAACCAGGATAGGCTGCACATCCAGGCTCTTAGCAGCCTGGTTCAATCTCTTTTGGTCGAATTGGAATCCTTGGCAGGAGGTATGAACTGATCAGTAAGGCAGGCACCAGTGTCCACACACCCTGTTCCTGGTGGGGACTGGGAGCCACTCTTGCCATGCCTGTGCCAGCTTCCATAGGCTGGCTCCTGGTGCTGGTTTGAGGAGTATCAACCCCTCCCTATGTGGATGGAGCCTGGTGGTGGCATCATCATCCCTCACTTGCTGATCTTGGTGTAGCCAACCTTCTCCTTGTTTGGTTTCTTTAATTAATTAATTTTGGAGACAGAGTCTCACTCCTTTGCCCAGGCTGGAGTGAAGTGGTGTGGTCTAGGCTCACTGCAACCTCTGTCTCCTGGGTTCAAGTGATTCTCCTGCCCTCAGCCTCCCAAGTCGCTAGGATTACATGCACCTGCCACCACGCCCGGCTATCCTTGTGTCCTTTCTTAACTTTTCCTCGAGCTGGGTTCCGGTGTTGGTTTCCTGTTGCTGCTGTAGAAAATTATCAGCAGCATGGCAGCAGGAGAGAGCACACTGACCCCTTCCATTTCTGGAGGCAGAAGTTGGGCCCTGTTTTTCCTGGGCTAAAATCAAGGCACCTGTAGGGTTTCGTTCCCTCTGGAGACTCAGGAGAATCAGTTCCTTGACTTTTCCAGCCTCTATAGGCCACCTGCATTCATGGCTCCTGGCCTTCCTCCACCTTCAAAGCTGATGGAGACTCCCATTACGCTGCTCTAATCCCCACTCCCCTCTTCCTCCTCCTTTCCTGTGGACACTTGTCATTACACTGAGCCCAGGGGGACAGTCCAGGCCTTCTCCCCATCTCAAGGTCAACTCATCAACAACCTGAGCTCCATCTTCCCCTTCAGTCCCTTCCCCTATAACATAAATAGTCACAGACTCCAGGGATTAGAATGTAGTCATCACTGGGGACAATTATTCTTCCCACCACAGCACCCATTTCCCTGTATTCAATCCCCCTTTACCCCAAATACAGTCAGGGCCTGCGTGAAGGGACCCTCAAGGACATGCCTACCAGAAGCTCTGGGATTCAGGAGGTGGGACAAGGAGAATCCCAGACAGGAGCCCTCTGACCTGTGACCACGATCACCAGGGGGTTGCTGGGTGCCGACCCCCCACTGGGGGAGTGTGTGTGTGAACCCCGGCATCTATAGGTCCCTGTGTGTGACGGGGTCACAGGGCCCATGAAAAGGCTTTTCCAGAATATTCTGTTGTAGAGCTCAGGGACAGGCACCCCATCATCCTTGTACAGACTGAAGTTGTTAAACCCAAGATTAGAGTGACACCGAAGAGTCACATGTTCTGGAGGCACCACAAGGCTGGGCCAGGTAGAAAGCAAGGGCTTGTCCTGACCACCTTGGGGAGAAGGAGGCGCCGCCTTAGAGAGGAGGATGTGGAGCCGCCCCTCCCTCCCTGTGCTCAGAAGATTCTCCCCACTTTCCACATTTCTATGGCTGCTATCACACCTTGGTGCCTAGGGCTAAAGGAAGGACTCATCCCACAAAGACAAGCTGTCTCCCTACAACAAAAGTGTCAGCTGAGAACTTTGAGCAAGTGCTGAGTAAGAGACTCCTACTAGATTTTAATACTGTAAGATTACTCACATAAAACAACACAGGGTAGACATGGGGTGGAGGGCATGTCCTTTGAGAATGGAATATCAGCAGATGCCTGAATGAAAATAAACAACTGAGCCCCCATCAGAGGATTTGGAATGTCAGGGCCATGGCTGTGGTTTCCCACCTCTTCTGGTAGAATGACAGCAGCCACACTGCAGCCCCTACCGTCATGGAAACGCTGAAGTGTGTGAGTAACACCTTTGTCCTCAGAGGATCTGCTGTTCCTACCACTTTCCCACCACACACCCCAGCTTTGAGCACCCTAGTGTAACCCTGGTCCCCACAGAACTTGACTCTGCCAAGGAAATGAAAGGCCAGGGAGGCAAGGTCGGAACTGTGGGCCAAGCACCCCAGGGTCCCCTCTTTCTAGTTTAAGAGAGACTCCCTGACAGGACTTCCCTCCCGTTTCAGGAAAATCCTCTTATGTGGGGAGATGACACCTTAAGGTTTGGAGAAGGACTTACCCTCATGTGGCCAGGCCCCCTGCAGCAAGAAGAACGCTGGAAAGAAAGATCATGATGGACCATCCATCTGCAGGCAAACCAGGCCTTCCTTGCTATCCCCACTAGGCTGTGAGTCTTGGTAGCCAGGCCCTTCCTGGGCCGAAGGGAAACTCACCCTCAGTGCCTACCTGCACCCAAGAACAGGGCTCTCGGCTGTGCAGAGACCCAGCCTCCAGGCCCATATCCCTACCCCAAGCCCATATCTCCACTCCAGGCACATATCTCCACTCCAGGCTGATATTCCCACCCTAGGCCCATATAGCCAATCTGGGCCCACATCTCCAATCCAGGCTCAGATCTCCACCCTAGGCCCATAACTCCAGTCCAGGCCCATATCTCCACTCCAGGCCCATATCTCCTCCCCAGGCCCATATCTCCACTCCAGGCCCATATCTCCACCCCGGGCCCAGATCTCCACCTCCAGGCCCATAACTACACTCCAGGATCATATCTCCACTCCAAGCCCATATCTCCACAACAGGCCCATATCTCCACTCCAGTCCCATATCTCCACCCCACGCCCATATCTCCACTCCAGGCCCATATCTCCATTCCAGGCCCATATCTCCACCCCACGTCCATATCTCCACTCCAGGCACATATCTCCACCCCATGCCCATATCTCCACTCCAGTCCCATATCTCCACTCCAGGCCCATATCTCCACCCCACGCCCATATCTCCACTCCAGTCCCATATCTCCACCCCACGCCCATATCTCCACTCCAGTCCCATATCTCCACCCCATGCCCATATCTGCACTCCAGTCCCATATCTCCACCCCACACCCATATCTCCACTTCAGTCCCATATCTCCACTCAAGGCCCATATCTCCACCCCACGCCCATATCTCCACTCCAGGCCCATATCTCCACTCCAGGCCCATATCTCCACTCCAGGCCCATATCTCCACCTCCAGGCCCATATCTCCACTCCAGGCCCATATCTCCATCTCCAGGCTCATATCTCCACTCCAGGCCCATATCTCCACTCCAGGCCCTTATCTCCACCTCCAGGCCCATATCTCCACTCCAGACCCACATCTCCACTCCAGGGCCATATCTCCACTCCAGGTCCATATCTGCACCTCCAGGCCCATATCTCCACTCCAGGCCCATATCTCCACCTCCAGGCCCATAACTTCACTCCAGGCCCATAACTCCACTCCAGGCCCATATCTCTACTCCAGTCCCATATCTCCACTCCAGTCCCATATCTCCACCCTAGGCTCCTACCTCCCATCCAGGTTCCTATCTCTTCTCCAGGTTCCTCTCTCCACTCCAGGCCCATATCTCCACTGCAGGCCCATATCTCCACTCCAGACCCAGATCTCCACTTCTAGGCCCATCACTCCATCTCTAGGCCCATATATCCCCTCCAGGCCCAGATCTCCACTCCAGGCCCATAACTCCACCTCCAGGCCTATATCTCCACCTCTGGGCCCAGATCTCCATCCCCGCGCTCCCTCCCTCTATTCCCTTCCAGGACTCACCAACACACGCCATGCTGATGACCATGAGTGACATGGTGGTGCCGGAGCAGACAGGCGGCCGCACCCCTAGCTCAGCTCAGCAGCGCACAGGATGTTATTTGGCGCCCTGCCCATGCAGTTTACATGTTGACCACATCATGGGAGGGTGAAGTACGCAGGCTCTTTCTACCTTTCATGAGGCCCAGTGGGTGCTCGCTCAAGAGCAGAACACGGCTTCCTGGAAATTGTTCTCACTAGAATTGACACCTCGTGTCCTTCACTATGACCAACTCAAAACACGTCTCAGATCCAACCTCCGGAACACAGGATGCCTAAAATCTCTGCTAACGTGAAAAACTTTTCATGTATTTTTATTGTTTTTATCTGAGATTCAAACTCTTCTTCATGTGTAATATGCAAAATATCTAATAGGTATTATTAATGTTTTCGGAGTCATTGTGACTAATAAACCATTAGAATTTTTCATGCTTGTATTTCTAGTATTACAGCAAAACCAGTTAAAATGATTTAAACTCCCAGGAAAGGATTATGCAATTATTTACAATCTTCGAATTGTACTTTATCAGCAAAAACCACACATGTAAATTCTGGATTTTTATAGTTTTATCTATAATTTGTCTCATGACCCAAGATTCCAGAGTCCCAACTCTGGAGTTTGCTCCCTCTCTGTCTCTGTCCCTCCCTCATTTTAAATTTTACGGAAATATCCAGTAACATAATGCTATAGAAAATCAAGTTTCCCCCAGCATGTTTGGAAGCCGAGGTGGGCGAATCAACTGAGATGAGGAGTTTGAGAGCAGCCTGGCCAACATAGTGAAACCGTGTCTCTGCTAAACATTCAAAAATTAGCCGTGCCTGGTGGCAGACACCTGTAATGCCATCTACTCAAGAGGCTGAGGCACGAGAATCGCTTGAACCTGGGAGGCGGAGTTTGCAGTGAGCTGAGATTGCACTACTACAGTCCAGCCTGGGTGACAGAGCAAGATTCCGCCTTAAGAAAAAAAAAATAGCAAGTAGCCTATAATAACAAATTAGAGGGCTCTGGCTACTAAATTTAAAGGGTTTTATAAGGCTACATGAAGTGCAGCATCCCCAAGAGTGTGGACACAGAGAGCCCCTTAGCAGAAACAGTGTCTAAAATACATCCGTGTACACACAGTCCCTTTAGAGTTGACAAAGGCTGCCCTGTGGTTTAAGGTGGCATAGAATGTCTTCTCAATAAATAATATTAAACCAAAGGGTTACACGTAGGAAAAAATAAATCTAAACTTATTCTCACACTATAAAAACACTTCTTGTTTTTATCTAGTTTATAATTTTTTTATGATTTATATTTAAAATTTAGAAATAACAGTTTTATACGGTCATCCTTCACTATTCCTGGGTGATTGGTTTCAGGATCTCCACTCAGATACCAAAATCTGCAGATGCTGAAGCCTCTTACATGAAATGGCACAGCGCTTGCATATAACCCATGCACATCCTCCTGTATACATGAAATCATCTCTAGATTACTTATAATTCCTGATATGGCCTACACACTGCTTCATTTGTGTCCCTTCAACATAGTTTTGCTTTTTGAAAGTTTGTGGATTTTCTTCTCTGAATATTTTTTATTTATAGTTGGTTCAATAAACACCTGTAAACCCCACAGATACGGAGGAGCGACTGTATATATATATATAGCATGAAAGATGATGTGTTGATATGTGTCCCCATGGAGATGAGACTAACAAGGCCTATGACTCTACAAATGTTTCATCGTGGAATGACTCTGCCAGCTTTCCAGGTCTGCAGAGAGTAAGAATATCACTTGTTCATGTGATTCATGATCCTTGGAACCTCCTATGTGCTGCATCTTTGGATGGAAATTGGAGTCCCAGAGACAAATGAGGCTCCACCCTGCTTCCAGAAGCTCAGAGTCCAGGGGAGAGAACCCAGTGGATAACAGATGGGGTTATGTGGACATGGTAATGATAACAGCGGTTTCTTTCAGCGAATAGTGTCACATTACCTAAAGCAATGAGGGCAGACATGTTTATTTGAAAAGGAGACAGCTACATTGAAATCACAAAAAATTTTATAAGTTTCACTGCTGACTGACAGAAGGCTGGAAAATAGTCTGAGGAAAGGTGAAACAGCATGAGGGAAGGTGGAACAGCACGTGTCTCAGTGCCATGTTAAGAGGGAGCCTCTTGTATGTCTGGAATTGTGAGTTCCTCAGTGTGATTGCAGCCTCAAGTAGACTAGGAAGTAAGCCAGTTCAGTTGGAGAGGTGGGCAGGGGTCAAGTGAAATAGAGAATTGTGGGCTAAGCAAAGGAGTGTGTCTTCTCTCCAGCAGGCAGTGGGGACCTTAGACATTTGTAAGCAAGAGAGAGGCATGTTCAGATTTGTGGTGTGAGGAAGAGCGATCCCCTAAGATGAAGACTGATGCCTTCAGATTCCAGCTGCTGGTACATGGGAGCTAGCAACCCGGTTTTGAGACAGGGCTGTTGTCTCCCTAGAAGATCCCCTCAAGGCCTGACTGTGGTGCTTATGGGCAGGAGACAATGATCTTGGCTTAGCATTTGGAAGTTCCATGTACATGGTGGTATCTGTTGGAGGTGTCTTGGGCCTCTGAGAAGGGGAAGTGATTTTTGTCTGTGTGAAAACGCAGTGATCCAACTGTGCATATGTCACCTCCTGAGGGTCTTGATCATCAGAGTCCTGGAGAGAGGGAAATGCTGAGTGAGGGAGGGTGCTCACATTCTTCAAGACTATTAGGGAATGAGACTCAATCCATGAGGCTGGGCTGAGGAGAACCTACCTCCCTGTTCACTGTTCTGTCCCCGGCAGGCTCTTGGTCCATTACAGCAGCATCTGTAGGAGATAGAAGTCATCAAAACAGCTGGAAGGGCACTTTTGGGTCCTCATTTCATGAGCAGACACCAACACACAGCGGGAGGCCGTAGGTGCCTGAGGTCCCTCAGCTGTCATCAGCCAGACCCAGACATTCTATCTCTCTGAGCTCAAGGACCCATCCCATGAATAGCTCTGAGTTCCCATCCCAGTGATTCTGTCTCCCCTTTCTGCCTGTCATGGAACCTTCTCCTGGATGTCAGTGGCTGCAGGGGACGTGAGGATACAGTTCAGAATCAGGCAATGGTCTGTGAGCTGAAGGCAGGGGCAGGGTGTCTGGTGCTCTCTCTAGAAAGCCCTGCCTCTGTGGCTCCTGCCTTGGTCCAGGGACCATCCTGCCAGTCAGGAACACACACCAGTGTGCTCCCATCCTGCTTCCCCACATGGTCCTGAGCTCTCTGACCTCTGCTTCGTGAGACTTACTCTTTTTGTTGGAGCAGCAGCAATGAAGGAGAAAGAAGAAGAGGATGATGAAGAGGATGATAGCCACTGAGGTCCCAATCAGAATGTGCAGGTGTCTGCGGATACCTGGGGGAAGGTGGGAATCCAATAAGAAGCTAATTATAGCAGTTCCTCTTTATGGATTGTCTCTCATTTCTTGGTTGCCAGCTAAGCACATACAACATCTGTTTAGGACAAGTTCCCCGATGGCAGGATACCCAGCTTTCTCCTGCTTTCTCAGTTATAGTTCTCAAAATAATCAGAGAACATGCTGGGGATACCACTGCTATAGTTTGGATGTTTGACCCCGCCAAACCTCACGTTGACACTTATCTCGCAGTGTGGGAGGCTGGGCCTATTGAGAGACGTTCCAGTTATGGGGGTGGATCCATCATGAATACATTAATGCTGTCCCCATGAGACGTGGTTGGCAAGTTCTCCATGAGGTCCCTAGGACTGGTTGCTAAAAAGAGCATGGGGTTTCTCCATGTTGGCCAGGCTGGTCTCAAACTCCTGACCTCAAGTGATCCAAACGCCTTGGCCTCCCAAAGTGTTGGGTTACAGGCGTAAGCTCCCATTCACAGACTTGTATATTATGCTATAATAAGTCCCTTCATTTGCACCACCCCTCATCTATCTATCAATCACTCCTCTGCCAGATATTGATTTACATGTAGGAAAAATAAATCTCAGAAAGAAATTAATATATTCAAAATTAAATAAGTAGGCATTATCAAATCCAGCAAGCCCTCCCTACAAATGATTCTACCTCACAGACATATCTTATACCCATCTACTTCATTCATTTAGTGTCTAAATCAGCACCACATTTCACCAGTGGGGCGGGAATTGCCTTTTCCACGGTCTCCTAGATTCCAGTTACGCACTTGGGCGTCCTTATTTTCATGTCAGTCATATTAATCATGTAGGGATTCCTGGCTACCCCGAGGTGAATCCAATGGCTGTGAGTGTCAAACACACGCTCCTTGTTCCTCCTTAGTTTCCTGTGTACCCAGAGTGCTCTCCGTCTCTCCACAGTCGTCTTGTCATTCTCCCCACGTCATTCCCAGCATTTGAATGCAGAGCCTCTTCCTTCCACATCAGATTGTTTTCACATTTGTGCCTTCACGGCTGACAGCTGTGTGTGGAAAATCCTTCCGCCAATCTTCCAGGGGTTGAATCTACTTTTTTTTTTCATTATGGTCACAAATATTATCTGATTAGTGAGACTTTCTCTGTCTCCTGAAATTATACACTTAGAATTCTTTATTATTTATTTTAAATTTCGGCTGGGCGCAGTGTCTCACACCTTGAGTCCCAGCATTTTGGGATGCTGAGACGGTCGGATCACTTGAGGTTGGGAGTTGGAGACAATCTGCGCAACATGGTGAAACTCCATCTCTACTAAAAAATATAAAAGAATATTAGCTGGGTGTGGTGGAGGGGACTGGAATCACAACTAGTCAGGAGGCTGAGGCAGGAGAATCGCCTGAACCCGGGAGGCGGAGGTTGTGGTGAGCTGAGGTCATGCCACTGCACTCCAGCCCGGGGACAGAGAATGACTTCGCCGCAAATAAATAAATACATAAATAGATAAATAGATAAATAAATAGGTAAATAGATTTCATGCACGGATGCTTCCCAATGGATCAATCATTACTGGTCCACTTGTGCATTCATATTCTGCCCTCCCATTTGCCCATCTGCAATGTCAGTGTCCTAAGAGCAGAGGCCAAATGCATCGTGTTTACCATTTGTGGAAGGCAGGAGAATGCTGGCCCACCCCCAAAATGTCCCTGTCCTAGCCTCCATAGCTTGTGAATATGTTATTTTACATGAAAGGAGGAATAAAGATTGCAGATGGAATTATGGTTGCTAATCAGCTGAACTTAAAAAGAGGTTATCTTGGGTGATTTTAGGGAGATTGTGATGGATTATCTTGGTAAACTCAATAGAATCCCAAAGTCTTTAAAAGAGGAAGAAAAAGTCAGAGCAACACTTAGAGAAAGAGGTGAGGTAAGGAAGAGGGATCTGAGTGATGCCACGTGAGAGATGTGATGAGCTTTTGTGGGCTTCGAGGAAGGAGGATGGGGACCAGATGCCAAGGAACGTGGGAACCTCTGGGAGCTGGGAAATGTGAAAAGCCGATTCTCGCCTGGAACCTTCAGAGAAAAGGCAGCCTCGCAGTCACCTTGATTTTAGCCCAGTGAAATGCATTTCATATTTCTGAGCTATAACACTGTAAGATAATTTTAAAAGCTGTGTTGTTGTCATCCATGAAGTTTGTGGAGATTTATTATGGCAACAGCAGGAAAGGGTTCCACACTGTACAGTCAGAGCACAGGGCAGTGGCTGAATAAGTGAGTAAGTGGAAGTGTCATATTTGTGGATGAACTACGTTCCTTCTTACTGCAAGGCTCTTGCTCTGCTGACTCAGCCAAGGTCGCATCATGACCAACAGGGGCTCATTCCTTGGCAAGTGGAACTTCTCTAAATCACCTTTCCCTCATCAGATGTTCCCTTCCCCTCCCTCTCTCAAGTCCCCTCAAATTTATCCTCCAATTTGGAATGCAGGCAGAAAAAACACCACTTTATCCCTGAGAAGGATGTCAGATTTGTACTCGTCCGTCTAGCTTGGAGGAGGTCTCAGCTGCAGAAATTTGAAATGAAGAGACTTCACTGAGCCCTTTGCTGTCCTCAGATACCCTTCGCTGTTGTAGTGTCTGGGGGTCAGAGATGTTAGAAGACAGGCCCACAATCACAGAGCTGGGAGGTGCTGAGCCAATGCTTGAATCCAAGATACCAACCTCCCCAGGTTTCCAAAAGCAGAGATAAGAGGGATCTTTACTCACCAGTTTTGGAGCTTGGTTCAGTGGGTGAAGATGAACTACTTGAAGAGTTTCCTAGAACACAGGACAGGAGAGAGGTGAGGAAATGAGGATGCCTGTCTTCTACTCAAAGGAAATCTTTGAGGTTGGTTCATGGCCAACACTCTGTTATCTAATGTTGGGCCCTAGGAGTCCTGGCGTCCCCTTCTCCATCATCATTGTTAAATGATGCCCAGTGTCCTGAGATTTCGAGGTATAAAGACAAAACAGGTGCTGGAGGCCTCACACTCCCTGACTTAAAAATATGTTACAAAGCTGTAGTAAGCACAACAGCATGACATTGGCATAAAGGCCCTTAGAGCAATGGAGCAGAATGAAGAACACAGATATAATTCATGCATTCACATCCAATGGACTTTGACGATTGTACGTGCCAAGAACCTGCAATCAGGAAACGACGGTCTTTTCAATAAATGGAGCAGGGAAAACTGGTATCTACATGCAGTTGATGAAACTGCACCTCGACCTCTCACCATACACAGAAATCAAATGAAAATGGAAGAAACACTTAAGGCCTGAAACCATTAAGCGTCTAAAAGGAAAGAGTGGGGAAATGCTCCAGGACATTTGTCTGAGGAAAGACATTTTATTTGAAATCTCAAAAACACAAGAAATCAAAACAAAATAATAGACCTTCGGGATTACATCAAAGTAAGCAGCTTCTGCACCGCAAAGGAAGCAACCAACAAAGTGAAGAAGAGACAAATTGGGAGAAAATATTTGTGAAGTATGCATCTGAGAGGGGATTAATAACTAGAATATACATAAAACTCAAGCAACGGTATAAAACAATGAATTTAATTTAACAATTAGTAAAAGACCTGAACAGACATTTCTCAACAAACAAAACGTACAAATGGCGAACATGTACATGAAAAAGTGCTCAGTATCACTAATCATGCCAATTGAAATCACAGTGAGCTATCATCTCATCCCATTAAAGTGGCTTTTATCTGAAACACAGACAAAATAAATGCTGGCAAGGTGGTAGAGAAAGGAGAACCCTGGTACCCTGTTGATAGGATCTAGCAATTCCACTACTGGGTGTAAACCCAAAGGGAAGGACATCAGTGTATCGAAGTGATATCTGCACTCATACGATTGGTGCAGCACTGTTCACAGTAGCCAAGATGTGGAGTCAACTTACCTGCCCGTCAGTGGGTGAATGGATAGAGAGAATGTAGTACACACACACAGTGGAGAGTACTCATCCGTAGAAAGAATAACATCCTGACATTTGCAGCCACATGGATGGAACTGGAGGTCATTGCAAAGATTCCCATTTCTCACCCATATACAGGAGCTAAAAGGTGGATCTCATGAAGGTAGAGAGTAGAATGGTGGCTACCAGAGGGCAGGAAGTAAAGGGTGGAGTGTAACAACAACAATAAAAAAGAATATAGATGTATTTATTTATTTAGAGACAGAATCTCTCTCTGTCTCCCAGGCTGCAGTGCAGTGGCCTGATCTCAGCTCAGTGCAACCTCTGCCTCCTGGGCTTACGTACTTCTCCTGCCTCAGCCTCCCATGTAGCTAGGAATACAGGTGCATGCCAGCATGCCCAGCCAATTTTTCTTGTCTGTTTAGTAAAGATGAATTTCCCTCATGTTGGCCAGGCTGATCTCGAGCCTCTGATCTTAAATGATCCACCTTCCTTGGCCTCTCAAAGCACCGAGATTATAACTGTGAGCCACTGCACCCTGCATATAAAGGAATTTATGACCACTAGATTTTACTTTTAAAAATGGTAAAGGTGGCAAATTATATAGTTACATTTAACCTAAATAAATGTTTTTTCAAACGGAAAGAAAAGGGTGTAGGGGTTGCTGGTGATGACATCTCTGTGTGGGTGAGAGGCCAGTATGGGCTTCTGGGAAATGGGTAAGGTTTAGGGTCTGAGGGAGCCTCTGATCTCCCCAAACTGAGCTGAGTCTCCCTCCTCTGGGTCTGTCCTGACCACTTTCTCCATCTGCCTGGGTGCCTGGAGCCCTGGCCGCGGGCCTCCATGCAGGCCGTGCAGGAGGGTTTGGAGGTGCCCTGTCTGCCATCCTGTGCCCTGATCCCTCCCTCACACCATGCTGCGTGTTCTCTCTGCATCTGTCCATGCTTCTCTCCATCATCAGCAGGAAGCTCCTCAGCTAAGGCTCTAGGATCACAGGACATGGGACAGGCATGGGCTTTCCTCACCTGTGACAGAAACAAGCAGTGGGTCACTCGGGTCTGACCACTCATAGGGTGAGTCATGGAGAGAGCCGAAGCATGTGTAGGTCCCTCCGTGGGTGGCAGGGCCCAGAGGAAAGTCAGCCTGGAATGTTCCATTGACGCTGGGCACTGCAGGGAGCCTAGGTTCATGGGCCCTCCCCTCCCTGGATAGATGGTACATGTCAAATGAGCTCCTGGAGCTGCAGGACAAGGTCACGTTCTCTCCTGTGCGAACCGTGGGGCCCGGCTGGGCTGAGAGTGAAGGTTTCCCAAATAGACCTGGAAGAAGAGGCAGTTTCCTCAGGGAGGTTCTTCCTTGTCACAGCTCCCCTCACACCTGAGCTGAGAACTCACTCCCCTGCTCTATGACCTAATGCTCTCTCTCTCTCTCACCCTCCACCCCCGACTCTCCCTGTGGATCCCTCCCTATGCGGCTCCAGCCTGGTGGTGGCATCAGCAGTGCACCCTTGCTGACCTTAGGGTAGCCAACCCTCTTGTTTGGTTTTTTAACTTGTCCTTGACCTGGATTCCTGTGTTGTTTCCTGTTGTTGCTGCAGAAAATTATCACAAACATGGCGGCGGGAGAGAACACTTCTGTTGACAGAAATCAGACCCTGTTCTTCCTGGGCTACAATCAAGGCATCTGCAGGGCTGCATTCCCTCTGGAGACTCGGGAGAATCAGTTCCATTGACTTCTCCAGCCCCTAAAGGCCACCTGCATTCCGTGGCTTCTGGCCTTCCTCCACTTTCAAAGCCCGCAGTGGCTGGTGGACTCTCCCTCCCACTACGCTGCTCTAATCCCCACTCTCCTCTTCCTCCTCCTCTCATGTGGACCCTTGTGATTACACTGAGCCCAGTGGGAGAGTCCAGGTCGTCTCCCCATCTCAAGGTCAACTCATCAACAACCTGAACTCCATCTTCCCCTTCAGTCCCATGTCCTATAACATAAATAGTCACAGGCTCCAAGGATTACAATATAGCCATGCTGCCGACAGTTACTCTTTCCACCACAGCACCCATTCCCCTGTATTCAATCCCCATTGACACCAAATACAGTCAGGGCCTGGATGATTGGACCCTGGTGGACACCCCCACCAGATGCTCTGGGATTCAGGAAGTGGGAGAAGGAGAAGCCCAGACATGAGTCCTCTGACCTGTGACCACGATCACCAGGGGGTTGCTGGGTGCTGACCACTCAATGGGGGAGCGTGGGTGTGAACCCCGACATCTGTAGGTCCCTGCGTGTGCAGGGGTCACAGGGCCCATGAGGATGCTCTTCCAGAATATTTTGTTGTAGAGCTCAGGGACAGGCACCCCATCTTCTTTGTACAGACTGAAGATGGTAAACCCAAGACGAGAGCGACACAGAAGAGTCACATGTCCTCCTCGAGGCACCACAGCGCTGGGCCAGGCAGACAGCAAGGGCTTGTCCTGACCACCTGGGGGAGAAGGAGGCGCCACCTTAGAAAGGAGGATGTGGAGCCGCCCCTCCCTGCCAGTGCTCAGAAGATTCTCCCCACTTTCCTCGTTTCTAAGGCTCCTACCACACTTGGGTGCCCATGGCTACGGGAAGGACCCACCCCGCATAGACTTGGCGTCTCTCTACAACAAAAGTGTCAGCTGAGAACTTTGAGCAAGTGCTGAGTAAGGGACTCCTACTAGATTTTAATCCTGCAAGATTACTCACATAAAACAACACAAATAGACATGGAGTCGAGGGCATGTTCTTTGTGAATGGAATATCAGCCAATGTGTGAACCACAATACACAACTGAGCCCCCAACAGAGGATTTGGAAGGTCAGGGCCCTGGCTGGGGTTCCCCCACCTCTGAGGTAGAATGACAGCAGCCACACTGCAGCCCCTACCGTCATGGAAACGCTGGAGGGTGTGAGTTACACCTTTGTCCTCAGAGGCCTGCTGTTCCTAGCACTGCTTTGCTCCCTTCCTCTGCCAGTGACACCACATCCCAGCCGCACAGCCCAGCTTGGAGGACCCCAGTCTACCCTCCCGGGTTCCCACAGAACCTGACTCAGCCAAGGGAAAGGAAGGCTGGGGAGGGCAAGGTCGGAACTGTGGGCTGAGCACCCCAGGGTCTCCTCATCCTTGTTTATAAGAAAATCCCCCACCGGGCTTCCCTCCTGTTTCAGGAAAATCCTCTTATGTGGGGAGATGACACCCGAAGGTTTGGAGAAGGACTCACCCTCATGTGGCCAGGCCCCCTGCAGCAAGAAGAACCCTGGAAAGAAAGATCATGATGGACCATCCATCTGCAGGCAAACCAGGACTCCCTTGCTGCCCCCACTGGGCTGTGAGTCTTGGTAGCCAGGCCCTTGCTGGGCTGAAGGGAAACTCACCCTCAGTGCCTGCTTGCACCCAAGAACAGGGCTGTCGGCTGTGTAGAGACCCAGCCTCCAGGCCCATATCCGCACCCCAGGCCCCTATCCCCACCCCAAGCCCATATCTCCACTCCAGGCCCATATCTCCACTCCAGGCCAATATTTCCACCCTAGGCCCATATCTCCAATCCAGGCCCATATCTCCACCCCAAGCCCATATCTCCACACCCAGGCCCATATCTCCATCCTAGGCCCATATGTCCACTCCAGGCCCATAACTCCACCTCTAGGCCCATATCTCCACTCCTGGCCCATAACTCTACTACAGGCCCATAACTCCACCTCCAGGCCCATAACTCCACTCCAGGCCTATATCTCCACCTCCAGGCCCATATCTCCACCTTCAGGCCCATGTCTCCACTCCAGGCCCATATCTCCATCCCAGGCCAATATCTCCACTCCAGGATCCTATCTCCCCTCCAGGTTCCTATCTCCACTCCAGGCCCAGATCTCCACTCCAGGCCCATATCTCCACCTCCAGGCCCATATCTCCACTCCAGACCCAGATCTCCACTTCTAGGCCCATCACTCCATCTCCAGGCCCATATATCCACTCCAGGCCCAGATCTCCACTCCAGGCCCATAACTCCACCTCCAGGCCTATATCTCCACCTCTGGGCCCAGATCTCCATCCCCACACTCCCTCCCTCTATTCCTTTCCAGGACTCACCAACACACGCCATGCTGACGACCATGAGCGACATGGTGCTGCCAGTGCAGACAGGCGGCCACGCCCCAGCTCAGCTCAGCAGCGCACAGGATGTTATTTGGCGCCCTGCCCATGCAGTTTACATGTTGACCACATCATGGGAGGGTGACGTACACAGGCTCTTTCTACCTTGCATGAGGCCCAGTGGGTGCTCGCTCAAGAGCGGAACATGGCTTCCTGGAAATTGTTCTCACTAGAATCGACACCTCGCGTCCTTCACTATGACCAACTCAAAACACGTCTCAGATCCAACCTCCTGAACACAAGATGCCTAAAATCTGTGCTAACGTGAAAGACTTTTCATGTATTTTTATCCGAACACGAGATGCGTAAAATCTGTGCTAACATGAAAGACTTTTCATGTATTTTTATTGTTTTTATCTGAGATTCAAACTCTTCTTCCTGTGTAATATGCGAAGTATCTAATAGGTATTATTAATGTTTTCGGAGTGATTGTGACTAACAAACCATTAGAATTTTTCATGCTTGTATTTCTAGTATTACAGCAGAACCAGTTAAAATGATTTAAATTCCCAGGGAAGGATTATGCAATTATTTACAATCTTAGAATTGTACTTTATCAGCAAAAACCACACCTGTAAATTCTGGAGTTTTGTAGTTTAATCTAAAATTTGTCTCATGACCCAAGATTCCAGAGTCCCAACTCTGGAGTTTGATCTCTCTCTGTCTCTCTCCCTCCCTCATTTTAAATTTTACAGAAATATCCAGTAACATAATGCTATAGAAAATCAAGTTTCCCCAGCACGTCGGGAAGCCGAGGTGGGCGGATCAACTGAGATGAGGGGATTGAGAGCAGCCTGGCCAACATAGTGAAACCGTGTCTCTGCTAAAAATCCAAAAATTAGCCATGCCTGGTGGCAGGCACCTGTAACGCCAGCTACTCAAGAGGCTGAGGCACGAGAATCGCTTGAACCTGGGAGGCGGAGGTTGCAGTGAGCTGAGATTGTGTCACTGCAGTCCAGCCTGGGCGACAGAGCAAGACTCCGCCTCAAGAAAAAAAAAGCAAATAGCCTATAATAACAAATTAGAGGGCTCTGGCTACTAAATTTAAAGGGTTCTATAAGGCTACATAAAGTGCAGCATACTCAAGAGTGTGGACACAGACAGCCCCTTAGCAGAAACTGTCTAAAATACATCCATGTACACACAGTCCCTTTAGAGTTGACAAAGGCTGCCGTGTGGTTTAAGGTGGCATAGAATGTCTTCTCAATAAATAATATTAAACCAATGGGTTACACCTAGTAAAAAATAAATCTAACTCACACTATAAAAACACTTCTTAGTTTTTATCTAGTTGTACATTTTTTGATTTATATTTAAATTTGAGAAATAAAAGTCATATACGGTCATCCTTCACTATTCCTGGGTGATTGGTTTCGAGATCTCCACTCAGATACCAAAATCTGTAGATGCTCAAGCCTCTTATATGAAATGGCACAGCGCTTGCAAATAACATATGCACATCCTCCTGTGTACATGAAATCATCTCTTGATTACTTATAATTCCTGATACAGCCTACACACAGCTTCATTTGTGTCCATTCAACATAGTTATGAGTTTTGGAACTCTGTGGATATTTTCTCTGAATATTTTTGATTTATACTTTGTTCAATAAAGACCTGTAAACCCCACAGATACGGAGGAGTGACCGTATATTTATAGTATGAAAGATGATGTGTTGATATGTGTCCCCATGGAGATGAGACTAACAAGGCCTATGACTCTACAAATGTTTCATTGTGGAATGACTCTGCCAGCTTTCCAGGTCTGCAGAGAGTAACAATGTCACTTATTCATGTGATTCCCGATCCTTGGAACCTCCTATGTGCTGCATCTTTGGATGGAAATTGGAGTCCCAGAGACAAATGAGGCTCCACACTGCTTCCAGAAGCTCAGAGTCCAGAGGTGAGAACCCGGTGGAGAACAGATGGGATTATATGGACATGGTACTGATAACACCGGAAGCCTTAGGCAAGAAAAGAGTCCCATTACCTAAACCATGAGGGCAGACATGTTTATTTGAAGGCGGGAAAACTACATTGAAATTATTTTAAAAAATATATAAGTTTTACTGCTGACAGAAGGCTGAAAGCTAGTCTGAGGGGAGGTGGAACAGCATGAGGGAAGGTGGAACAGCACGTGTCTAAGTGCCGTGTTAAGAGGGAGCCACTTGCATGTTTGGAATTGTGAGTTCCTCAGTGTGATTGCAGCCTCAAGTAGACTAGGAAGTAAGCCAGTTAGGTTGGAGAGGTGGGCAGGGGTCAAGTGAAATGGAGAATTGTGGGCTAAGCAAAGGAGTGTGTTTTCTCTCCAGCAGGCAGTGGGGACCTTAGACATTTGTAAGCAAGAGAGAGGCACATTCAGATTTGTGGTGTGAGGAAGAGCGATGCCCTAAGACGCAGACTGACGCCTTCAGATTCCAGCTGCTGGTACATGGGAGCTGGCAACCCAGTTTTGAGACAGGGCTGTTGTCTCCCTAGAAGATCCCCTCAAGGCCTGACTGTGGTGCTCATGGGCAGGAGACAACTTTGGATCTGGGCTCAGCATTTGGAAGTTCCGTGTACACGATGATATCTGTTGGGGGTGTCTTGGGCCTCTGAGAAGGGCGAGTGATTTTTCTCTGTGTGAAAACGCAGTGATTCAACTGTGCATATGTCACCTCCTGAGGGTCTTGTTCATCAGAGTCCTGGAGAGAGGGAAATCCTGAGTGAGGGAGGGTGCTCACATTTTCCAGGACTCTTTGGGAATAACACTAGCCACGAGGCTGGGCCGAGGAGCACCTACCTCCCTGTTCACTGTTCTGTTCCCTGCAGGCTCTTGGTCCATTACAACAGCATCTGTAGAAGACGGAAGTCAACAAAACAGCTCAGAGGGCACTTCTGGGTCCTCATTTCATAAGCAGATACCAACATACAGGGGGAGACCATACGAGCCTGAGGTCCCTCAGTTGCCAACAGCAGACTCAGACATTCTATCTCTCTGAGCTCAAGGACCCATCCCATGAATAGCTCTGAGTTCCCATCCCATTGATTCTGTCTCCCACTTTCTGCCTGTCATGGAACCTTCTCCTGGATGTGAGTGGCTGCAGGGGACATGAGGATACAGTTCAGAATCAGGCAATGGTCTGTGAGCTGAAGGCAGGGACAGGGAGTCTGGTGCTCTCTCTAGAAAGTCCTGCCTCTGTGGCTGCTGCCTTGGGCCAGGGACCATCCTGTCTGTGAGGAACACACACCTGAGTGCTCCCATCCTGCTTCCCCACATGGCCCTGAGCTCTCTGGCCTCTGCTTCGTGAGACTTACTTTTTTTGTTGGAGCACCAGCGATGAAGGAGAAAGAAGAGGAGGAGGACGAAGAGGATGATGACCACTGAGGTCCCAATCAGAACGTGCAGGTGTCTGGGGTTACCTGGAAGAAGAGGAGACACCAATAAGAAGCTAATCATAGCAGTTCCTCTTTATGAATTGCCTCACATTTCTTGATTGACAGGTAACCACATACAACACCCCTTTAGGACAAGCACCCAGATGGAGGGAGACCCAGCTTTCTCCTGCTTTCTCAGTTATAGCTCTCATAGTAACCATAGAACGTGTTGAGGATACTACTACTTTAGTTGAGATGTTTGACCCCTTCAAACCTCACATTGAAATTTCACCCCCATTGTGGGAGGTTGGGCCTCTTCAGAGGTGTTTGGGTCATGGAGGTGGATCCATCATGAACAGACCAATGCTGTCCCAAGGAGACGGGGTTAGCAAGTTCCCCCTCTATTAGTTCCTGGAGAGCTGGTTGTTCAAAAGAGCTTGGAAGCTCCATCGCTCCCCCTCCCCCTTGCTCCCTCTCTTGCCGTGTGATCTCTGTGGTCTCTGCACAGACAGACCCTCCTTCCCTTCTACCAGAGTGGGAGCAGCCTGAGGCCGTCACGAGAAATAGATGCTGGTGCCACGCTTCCAGTACAGCCTGCAGAACTGTGAGGCAAACCAATCTCTTTTCTTTAGAAGTTACCCAGGCTCAAGTGTTCCTTTAGAGCAACAAAAATGGACTAAGACAGCAACGTCCTGAGATCAGGAGGAACGTCTCAGAACAGCCTGGGCTGTCTTCCTGTTCTTCCTGGAGGAGGACGTCATGCAGTGCTTTAGCTGAGTGCTTCCTGTGGCTCCACAGTACAAAACCCAGGCTGGGCTGCTTTCTGGCTTCCCCCAGCTACACTGCAAATGGGGTGACTCCATATGTCCCGAGTAGCTTTTCTGAGCCTTGAGGGACTGGCTCACATTGAAATGTAGGTTTCTGTTGTCACTCGCTGCTTATCTGTTAGTAATGAACTTGCCTGTGTAATGTATTCTCTGTGTGTTCTGTCTCCCTGGAGTGACGGTGAGTGATAGGAATTGGCATAAGCCCAGGTGCAGTCCAGGAGGTATTTAGAGTCTTCTCTGGGAAGACTGGACTGGGATTGATACACAGCGAATGTGCTTTAGGATTTCTACATCCACGGCATTCTTGAGTCAAACAACTTGCATTCTCCAAGAAAAGGAAACAAAAGTGAAATCAAGATAAAAAAAGCTAAGTAGAATTCTCTTATGTCAAATGGCCAGGAAATAGTGTTGAAGCCCGTGTGAAACGTGCTACTCTTTGTGATCTCGGGAGACACATGTTAGGCTGCTGTTCTACCCGAGAGGCTGGGGGAAGGACCACCCCCTCGGCCATCTATTGCTTCAATACCACCTGTCCTCCTGTGAATTAGTAGGAAAGGGGAGCAGGAGCTAGTGCTGGCACTGATCTCTGATTCCAAGATCTGGACTCACTCCAAGGAGTATCAATGTTTATCTCCCCATAGCCTATCTGAATCTCCACAGGTGATTGGAAGTAGGGGTGAGGTGGGGGATTTGGGTGAGTGGGCAAGTTTTTTGTTGCGATGAACAGAGCACTTTCTCTATTCCACGATCTGTGCTGGAGGATTCTGAGGGCTTTCACATTTTCTATGTGATCTCATGCTCACAGAAAGCCAAATAGGGAAGAGGTTTTAGGCTCATTGCCTAATGGATAAGATAAAGGATCAAAGAAGTAATTATAGAGAAATAGAAAAACGATGATTGGAATTCAGGTGCCTTTGTCATTCGTGTGTGTTTTATTATATTTATGCATTTCTTATTTTTATTTTTTGAGATAGAGTCTCCTTGTGTCCCCCAGGCTGGAGTGCAGTGATGCAATCTCCACTCACTGCAACCTCCACCTACTGGGTTGAAGTCATTCTCCTGCTTCATCCTCCAGAATAGGAGCTGGGATTACAGGGATGCACCATCGTGCTCGGCTAATTTTTGTATTTTTAGTAGAGATAGGGTTTCACCACGTTGGCCAGGCTGGTCTGGAACTCCTGACTTCATGGAATCCACCCACCTTGGCCTCCTGCAGTGCTAGGTTACAGGCGTGAGCCACTGTTCACAGACTTGTATATTATGCTATAATAAGTCTCTTCATTTCCACCACCACTCATATATCTGTCACTCCTTTGCCAGGTATTGATTTATGTGTAGGATGAATAAATCTCAGAAAGAAATTAATTAAGCGAGGATTAAACAAGTAGGAAAATCAAACCCAGCAAGCCTTTCCAGTCAATGATTCTACCTCACAAACATATCTTATATCCATCTACTTCATTCATTTAGTGTCTAAATCAGCACCACATTTCACCAGTGGGGCGGGAATTGCCTTTTCCACGGTCTCCTAGATTCCAGTTATGCAACTGAGCCTCCCTTATTTTCATGTCAGTCATATTAATCATGTAGGGATTCCTGGTTACCTCGAGGTGAATCCAATGGCTGTGAGTGTCAAACACACACTCCTTGTTGCTCCTTAGTTTCCTGTGTACCCAGTGTGCTCTCCGTCTCTCCACAGTCGTCTTGTCATTCTCCCCACCTCATTCCCAGCATTTGAGGCAGAGCCTCTTCCTTCCACATCAGATTGTTTTCACCTTTGTGCCTTCACGGCTGACAGCTGTGTGTGCAAAATCCTTCCGCCAATCTTTCAGGGGTTCAATCCGTGTTTTTCATTAATGTCACAAATATCTGAATAGTGAGACCTTCTTTGTCACCTGAAAATCATACACTCAGCATTATCTATTATTGATTTTGAATTCTGGCTGGGCACAGTGGCTCACGCCTGTAGTCCCATTACTTTGGCATGCTGAGACGGTCGGATCACTTGAGGTTGGGAGTTTCAGACAAGCTTGGCCAACGTGGTGAAACATCCTCTCTACAAAAAATATACAAAAAGAATTAGCCGGGCACGGTGGCAGTTGCCTGTAATCCCAGCTACTCGAGAGGCGGAGGCAGGAGAATCACCTGAATCCAGGAGACGCAGGTTGCAGTGAGCCAAGATTGTGACACTGCACTGTAGCCTGGAAGACAGAGGGCGACTCTGTCTCAATAAACAAAAGAACAAACAAAAAATAGATTTCATGCACAGATGCTTCCCAATGGATCATTCATTTATAGATCCACTTGTGCATTCATTTTCTGCCCTCCCATTTAACCATCTGCAGTATCAGTGTCCCAAGGGCAGAGGCCAAATGCATCTTGTTCACCGTTTGTGGAAGGCAGGAGAATGCTGTCCCACCCCAAAATGTCCCTGTCCTAGCCTCCATAGCTTGTGAATATGTTATTTTACATGGAAAGGAGGAATGAAGATTGTAGATGGAATTGCGGTTGCTAATCAGCTGAACTTAAAACAAGGGTATCCTGGATGATTTCCAGGAGATTATGAGGGATTTTCATCTTGGTGAACCCAATAGAATCCCCAAGTTTTCAAAAGATAAGGAAGAAGGGAGAGCAGCATTCAGAGAAAGAGGTGTGGTAAGGAAGAAGGCACTGAGTGATGCCATGTGAGATGTGACCAGTCTTTGTGGGCTTTGAGGAAGGAGGAAGGGGACCAGGAGCCAAGGAACTGGGAGCCTTTAGAAGCTGGGACAAGTGAGAAGCAGATTCTTGCCTGGAATCCTCAGAGGGAAGGCAGCCTTGCTGTCACCTTGATTTTAGCCCAGTAAGATGCACTTCCTACTTTGAGCTACAGCACTGTAAGATAATTAAAAAACCGTTTTGTTTTCACCCACGAATCTTGTGGAAATTTGTTATGGCAACAATAGGAAAAGGTTCCGCACTGCACAGCCTGAGCATGGAGCCGTGGCTGAATGAGTCAGTGAGTCGAAGTGTGCGTGCATGAGCTCCGTTCTCTGTTACGGCAAGGCTGTTGCTCTGCTGAGTCAGCCAGGGTTGCTTCATGACCAACAGTAATTCATTCCTTGGCAAGTGGAACTTCTCTAAAACACCTCGCCCTCATCAGATGTTCCCTTCCCTTCCCTCTCTCAAGCCCCCAGGAATTTATCCTCCAGTTAGGAATGCAGGCAGAACAAACATTGCATTTTTCCTGAGAAGGATGTCAGATTGGCAATCATTCTTCTAGCTTGTAGGAGGTCTCAGCTCCATAAAATGAGAGATTAAGAGATTTCACTGAGCCCTAGGTTGGGCCCAGATCCCTTTCGCTGTTGGAGTATCTGGAGTTCGGAGATGGTAGAAGACAGGCGTACAATGTCAGAGCTGCGAGATGCTGAGTCAATGCCTGCATCGAAGGTTTCTACCTCCCCAGGTTTCCAAAAGCGGATATAAGAGGGTTCTGTACTCACCGGTTTTGGAGCTTGGTTCAGTGGGTGAAGGCCAACTATTTGAAGGGTTTCCTAGAACATGAGACAGGAGAGAGGTGAGGAAATGAGGGTGTCTGTCCTCTACTCAATGGAAATCTTTGAGGTTGGTTCATGGCCAACACTCTGTTATCTAATATTGGGCCCTGGGAGTCCTGGGATCCTTTTTTCCGTAATTTTTGTATGTGACGCCCACTGTCTTGAGACTTCAAGGTATAAAGAGAAAACAGGAGCATCACACTACCTGATCTCAAAATATGTTACAGAGCTGTAGTAAGCAAAACAGCATCACATTGGCATAAAGAAAGGCACATAGAACAATGGAGCAGAATGAACAACACAGATATAATCCATGCATTTACATCCAATGTTTTTTTCTTTTTTTCTTTTGAGATGGAGTCTCGCTCTGTCACCCAGGCTGGAGTGCAGAGGTGCAATCTTGGTTCACTGCCACCACAGCCTCCTGGGTTCAATCAATTCTCTGGCCTCAAACTCCTGAGTAGTGGTATTATAGGTGCTGACCACCATGCTCAGCTAATTTATATATTTTTAGTGGAGACAATGTTTCATCACGTCGGCCAGACTAATCTTGAACTCCTGGCCTCAGGTGATCCACCCGCCTTGGGCTCCCAAAGTGCTGAAATTGCAGGTGTCAGCCACCATGCCCAGCCCATCCAATGGACTTTGACAAAGGTGCCAAGAACTCACAATCAGGAAAGGACAGTCTTTTCAATAAACAGTGCAGGGAAACCTGGACATCTACATGCAGAGGAATGAAACTGCACCTCTACCTGTCACTATACACAAAAATCAAATGAAAATGGATTAAAGATGTGAGTCTAAGGCCTGAACCTATGAAACACATAGAAGAAAATATTGGGGAAATGCTCCAGTACATTTGTCTGAAGGAAGACATTTTGTTTTAAACCTTCAAAACACAAGTAATCGAAGCAAAAATAGACCATTGGGATTACCTCAAGCTAAGCAACTTCTGCACCGCTAAAAATAAACCAACAAAGTGAAGAGACAACCCACAGATTGGGAGCAAATATGTGCAAACTATGCATCTGAGATGGGATTAATAACTAGAAATATAAGAAGCTCAAACAACTCAATAAAACAAATGATTTAATTGAAAAAGGAGCAAAACACATGAAATTTCCCCACATACTAAAAAGTGCTCAGTTTCACTCATCATCAGAGAAACGCAAATTAAAATCAAAGTGAGTTTTCATCTCACCCCATTAAAATGGCTTTTAGGCCGGGCGTGGTGGCTCACGTCTGTCATCCTAGACCTTTGAGAGCCTGAGGTGGGTGAATCTCATAAGGTAGGGAGTTTGAGACCAGTCTGACCCACATGGAGAAACACTGTCTCTACTAAAAATACAAAATTTAGTTGGGCGTGGTGGCGTGTGCCTGTAATTCCAGCTACTCGGGAGGCTGAGGCAGGAGAATCGCTTGAACCTGGGAGGTGGAGGTTGCGGTGAGCCGAGATCGCACCACTGCACTCCAGCCTGGGTGACAAGAGCGAAACTCCATCTCAAAATAAAATGAAATAAAATAAAATGGCTTTTAGCTGCGAGACAGGCAAAGGAAATCCTGCCAAAGTGGTAGAGAAAGGAGAACCCTAATACCCTGTTGGTAGGAGTGTAAATTAGTACAGCCTTTACGGAGAAAAGTGTGGAAGTCCTTTAAAGAACTAAAAAGAGGTTGGGTGAGGTGGATCATGCCTGTAATCCCGGCACTTTGGGAGACCGAGGCGGGCACCTCAGTTGAGGTCATGAGTTTGAGAGCAGCCCAGCCAACATGGGGAAACCCCATCTATACTAAAAAAAACAAAAAGTAGCCAGGCATGGTGGCGTGCACTTGTAATCCCAGCTACTAGGGAGGCTGAGGCAGGAAAATCATTTGAACCCAGGAGGCGGAGGTTGCAATGAGCCAAGATGATGTCACTTGTACTCCAGCCTGGGCACAAAGGGAAACTGTCTCAAAAACAAAAACAAAACAACAAACGAATAACTAAAAAGAGAACTTTCATAGTATCCAGCAATTTCACTACTGGGTTTATATCCAAAGGAAAGTAAATCAATATATCGAAGTGATATCTGCACTCGTATGATTGGTGCAGCACTGTTCACAGTAGCCAAGATGTGGAGTCAACCTACCTGCCCATCAGTGGATGAATGGATAGAGAGAATGTAGTACATACGCACAGTGGAGACTACTCATCCATAGAAAGAAAAACATCCTGATATTTGCAGCCACATGGATGGAACTGGAAGTCATTACAAAGATTCCCATTTCTCACCCATATACAGAGCTAAAAGGTGGATCTCATGAAGGTAGAGAGTAGAATGGTGGCTTCCAGAGGCCAGGAAGAAAAGGGTGGAGGGTAAAAAAAAAAAAAAAATATATATATATATATATATATATATATATATATATATATATATATATATATATGTATATATATGTGTGTGTATATATATATACACATATATATATATATAAATGTATTTATGACCACTAGACTTTACACTTAAAAATGGTAAATGTGGCTGGGCGTGGTGGCTCATGCCTGTAATCCCAGCACTTTGGGAGGCAGATGCGGGTGGATCACGTGGTCAGGAGTTGGAGACCAGCTCGACCAACATGGTGAAACCACCTCTCTACTAAAAATACAAAAAGTAGCCTGGCGTGGTGGTGCGCGCCTGTAGCACCAGCTACTCAGGTGGCTGAGGCAGGAGAATCACTTGAACCCAGGAGGCGGAAGTTGCAGTGAGCTGAGATTGTGCCACTGCACTCCAGCATAGGGGACAGAGCTAGACTCTGCCTCAAAAAAAAAAAATGTTAAAGGTGGTAAGCTATATAGGTATATTTATCCTCAATAAATATTTCTTCAAACAAAAGTAAAGGGTGTAGGGGTTGCTGGTGATGACATCCCTGTGTGGGTGAGAGGCCAGGATGGGCTTCTGGGAAACGGGTAATGTTGAGGGGCTGAGGGAACCTCTGATCTTCCCAAACTGAGCCCAGTCTCCCTCCTCTGGGTCTCTCCTGACCGCTTTCTCCATCTGCCTGGGTGCCTGGAGCCCTGGCCGCGGGCCTCCATGCAGGCCGTGTAGGAGGGTTTGGAGGTGCCCTGTCTGCCATCCTGTGCCCTGATCCCTCCCTCACACCCAAGCTTCGTCTTCTCTCTGCATCTGTCCATGCTTCTCTCCATCATCAGCAGGAAGCTCCTCAGCTAAGGCTCTAGGATCACAGGACATGAGACAGATATGGGGTTTCCTCACCTGTGACAGAAACAAGCAGTGGGTCACTCGAGTTTGACCACTCGTATGGAGAGTCACGGAAAGAGCCGAAGCATCTGTAGGTCCCTCCGTGGGTGGCAGGGCCCAGAGGAAAGTCGGCCTGGAATGTTCCGTTGACCTTGGGCCCTGCAGAGAACCTACGTTCATGGGCCTCCCCCTCCCTGGATAGATGGTACATGTCATAGGAGCTCCGGGAGCTGCAGGACAAGGTCACGCTCTCTCCTGCCAGAACCGTGGGGCCCGGCTGGGCTGAGAGAGAAGGTTTCTCATATAGACCTGGAAGGAGAAGAGGCATTTTCCTCAGGGAGGATCTTCCTTGTCACAGCTCCCTTCACCTGAGCTGAGAACTCACTCCCCTTCTCTATGACCTAATGCTCTCTCTCTCTCTCTCTCACCCTCCACCCCATCTCTCTTCATGTCTATTTCCTTCTTCCACCTTCTCTGTCTCTCTAGGTCTCTGACCTCGCTTCCCCACCTCTAGATATGTTTTCCGTTTTTGGATTGTTTTATTCTCTCTGACTCTCCTTGGATTGGTTGACTTGATGTTACTTTTTTAAATTCTAAGTTTCTCACGTTGTGTCCTGTTCATAACTTTCTGCATATTTCTATCTATTATCTGTCGATCTATTTATCTATTCAGTGCCTATCTACAAATTCTCTACCTGTCATCTATATCTATATATCATCTATGTATCTATCACTTGTCTATCTATCCATCAATCATCTGTTATTTATATGTATGTATCATCTCTCTCTCTATGATTTCTGTCTGCCTCTCTATCTGTACGTATTATCTGTCTTCATCATCATCATCTCTATGTATTATCTATTAATGAATCAATCAATCATCATCTATGTATCTTTAACCTATTATCTATCATCTACCTATTTATCATCTATCTATATCTATCCATCTATCATCTGTCTTGCTCTGCCTCTCGGTCTCTCTAGCTCTCTTTGGAATCTCTGCAATTCATCCCCACATCTCCATGTTTCTATGTCCTTGTGCCTCTCTCTCAGGACTCTAAATTTAGTGCTTTTCTCTGCTCCCTGCCATCATTCTCACCACTCCTCTGCCCTCTTTTCTCTCTCTTTATGTGTCTGTGAGTCTCTCAATCTCCTTCCTCTGGCTCATTCTCTGTGTGTTTATGTCTTTGCTTTTTGGTGTTCCTGATTTTTCTCTGTGCCTCTCAGTGATCCTTTCATATGTGGGGTTATTTGGAATGTGAGCCTCAGAATCCAGTCTGGAGACCACAAGTTCACACAGCATACAGGGGTTGGTGTTCTGGGGCCATGATATCCTGGGACGGTTACTCTCCATTACATGGAAGGCAGAGGTGTCAGAATAAACATGGCCTGTAGGTGCCACAAGGCCTGAGGCCACAGGGCCCAACTCAGGTCATAAATATGGGTGTCCTTGGGTTCTCCTGGTAGAGAACACTTTGTGGAGGTAAAACAGAAATGAAACTTCTAACCTGTGCCAGGTCTGTGAGCAAAGTCAGCATGGAGGGACACCTCTCTCTGGGACATGTCTGTCTGTCTGTCTCTTTTAACTCTTTCTGTCTTTTCTAACTCCCTGTATGGCCCCTGTGTCTGTCCTCTGTTATGACACCTGGTCTGTACTTGTGTCTCCTGTTTCTCTGTCTCTGTTGGTACAAACCTCAGCAAGTCAGTCTCTCTCCATAAGAATACCAAGCTCATCTTCCTTACAACTACCTGGGGGTTCCAAGTCATGGATCATTCACTCTGCATCCCAATGACAATGAGAATGTCCGGACACTCTCACCTGTGATGACGATGTCCAGAGGGTCACTGGGAGCTGACAACTGATAGGGGGAGTGAGTAACAGAACCGTAGCATCTGTAGGTCCCTGCAAGGTCTTGCATCATGGGACCGATGGAGAAGTTGGCCTTGGAGACCCCATCATGGTGCTCTCCAATGAGGCGCAAAGTGTCCTTAAACTTCCCTTCTCTGTGCAGAAGGAAGTGCTCAAACCTGACATCTGACCAACATTGCAGGATGACTGTCTCTTCTGATTTCACCAGGGGACCTGGGTGGGCCCGGAGGGAAGGTTTTCTGTGGACTCCTAGGAAGAGAGGTTGTGAGTTTAGAAGGTGTCTCTCTTTATCATCCCATCCATGGCACCTAGAATGAGTGAGGCTTCCCCTTGCTGGTGTCTGTCTCTCTCCTTCCTCTCTGTGTCTTCATGTTCTTTTCTGTGCCCTTAACTCCTGGTGCAGGTCCTTCCATCTGTCTCCCTCCCTCTTCTCTGTTCCTCTGTCTCTAGTAGCCTCTGATTCCCTTCCCACTGGGCTTAGCCTCATCTCTTGGGGTGTTGTATCTATTTCACACTAATGTCTTTCCTGCTGTTTATGTGGGGGTGAAAGAGGAACCAGGATAGGCTGCACATCCAGGCTCTTATCAGCCTGGTTCAATCTCTTTTGGATGAATTGCAATCCTTGGCAGAAGGTATGAACTGATGAATAAAGCAGGCACCAGTGTCCACACACCCTGTTCCTGGTGGGGACTGGGAGACACTCTTGCCATGCCTGTGCCTTCTCCATGGTGCCAGCTTCCATAGGCTGGCTCCTGGTGCTGGTTGGAGGAGTATCAACCCCTCCCTATGTGGATGGAGCCTGGTGGTGGCATCATCATCCCACCCTTGCTGATCTCAGGGTAGCCAACCTTCTCCTTGTTTGGTTTCTTTAATTAATTAATTAATTTTGGAGACAGAGTCTCACTCCTTCCCCCAGGCTGGAGTGAAGTGGTGTGGTCTAGGCTCACTGCAACCTCTGTTTCCTGGGTTCAAGTGATTCTCCTGCCCTCAGCCTCCTGAGTCGCTAGGATTACATGCACCTGCCACCATGCCTGGCTTTCCTTGGGTTGTTTCTTAACTTGTCCTTGACCTGGGTTCCAGTGTTGGTTTCCTGTTGCTGCTGTAGAAAATTATCAGAAGCATGGCAGCAGGAGAGAGCACACTGACACCTTCCACTCCTGGAGACAGAAATTGGACCCTATTTTTCCTGGGCTAAAATCAAGGCATCTGCAGGGCTTTGTTCCCTCTGGAGACTCTGGAGAATGAGTTCCTTGACTTTTCCAGCCTCTATAGGCCACCTGCATTCATGGCTCTTGGCCTTCCTCCACCTTCAAAGCTGGTGAAGACTTCCACTGGACTGCTCTAATCCCCACTCCCCTCTTCCTCCTCCTTTCGTGTGCACCCTTGTGATTACACTGAGCCCAGTGGGACAGTCCAGGCTGTCTCCCCATGAGCTCCATCTTCCCCTTCAGTCCCTTCACCTATAACATAAATAGTCACAGACTCCAGGGATTAGAATGTAGTCATCACTGGGGACAATTATTCTTCCCACCACAGCACCCATTTCCCTGTATTCAATCCCCCTTTACCACAAATACAGTCAGGGCCTGCGTGATGGGACCCTCAAGGACATGCCCACCAGAAGCTCTGGGATTCAGGAGGTGGGACAAGAGAATCCAAGAGAGGAGCCCTCTGACCTATAACCACGATCACCAGGGGGTTGCTGGGTGCTGACCACCCACTGGGGGAGTGTGTGTGTGAACCCCGACATCTGTATGTCCCTGTGTGTGCGGGGGTCACAGGGCCCATGAAAAGGCTGTTCCAGAATATTCTGTTGTAGAGCTCAGGGACAGGCACCCCACCTTCCTTGTACAGACTGAAGTTGTTAAACCCAAGATAAGAGTGACACCGAAGAATGACATGTCCTAGAGGCACCACAAGGCTGGGCCAGGCAGACAGCAAGGGCTTGTCCTGACCACCTTGGGGAGAAGGAGGCGCCGCCTTAGAGAGGAGGATGTGGAACTGCCCCTCCCTCCCTGTGCTCAGAAGATTCTCCTCGCTTTCCACGTTTCTATGGCTAGTATCACACCTTGGTGCCCAGGGCTGAAGGAAGGACCCATCCCGCAAAGACATGGTGTCTCCCTACAGCAAAAGCCTCAGCTGAGAACTTTGAGCAAGTGCTGAGTAAAGAGACTCCTGCTAGATTTTAATACTGTAAGATTACTCACATAAAACAACACAGGGTAGACATGAAGTGGAGGGCATGTCCTTTGTGAATGGATATCAGCGGATGCCTGAATGAAAATAAACAACTGAGCCCCCATCAGAGGATTTGGAATGTCAGGGCCATGGCTGTGGTTTCCCACCTCTTCTGGTAGAATGACAGGAGCCACACTGCAGCCCCTACCATCATGGAAACGCTGAAGTGTGTGAGTAACACCTTTGTCCTCAGAGGATCTGCTGTTCCTACCACTTCCCAACCACACACCCCAGCTTTGAGCACCCCAGTCTAACCCTGGTCCCCACAGAACTTGACTCTGCCAAGGGGTTGAGAGGCCAGGGAGGCGAGGTCAGAAATGTGGGCTGAGCACCCCAGGGTCCTCTCTTCCTAGTTTATGAGAGACTCCCCGACAGGACTTCCCTCCTGTTTCAGGAAAATCCTCTTATGTGGGGAGATGACACCCGAAGGTTTGGAGAAGGACTCACCCTCATGTGGCCAGGCCCCCTGCAGCAAGAAGAACCCTGGAAAGAAAGATCATGATGGACCATCCATCTGCAGGCAAACCAGGACTCCCTTGCTGCCCCCACTGGGCTGTGAGTCTTGGCAGCCAGGCCCTTCCTGGGCTGAAGGTAAACTCACCCTCAGTGCCTACCTGCACCCAAGAACAGGGCTGCCGGCTGTGCAGAGACCCAGTTTCCAGGCCCAGATCCCCACCCCAAGCCCATATCTCCACTCCAGGCTGATATTTCCACCCTAGGCCCATATCGCCAATCCAGGCTCAGATCTCTACCCTAGGCCCATATCTCCAATCCAGTCCCATATCTCCGCCCCAGGCCCAGATCTCCACCCTAAGCCCATATCTCCACTCCAGGCCCATATCACCTCTCCAGTCCCATATCTCCACACCCAGGCCCATATCTCCTTCCTAGGCCCATATCTCCACTCCAGGCCCAGATATCCACCTCTAGGCCCATAACTCCACTCCTGGCCCATATCTCCACTCCAGGCCCATATCTCTACTGCAGGCCCGTATCTCCACCTCCAGACCCATATCTCCACTCCAGGCCCATATCTCCACCTCCAGGCCCATATCTCCACCTCCAGGCCCATATCTCCACTTCAGGCCCATATCTCCACTCCAGGCCCATATCTCCACTCCAGGCCCCTATCTCTACTGCAGGCCCATATCTCCATCTCCAGGCCCATATCTCCATCTCCAGGCCCATGTCTCCACTACAAGCCCATATCTCTACTGCAGGCCCATATCTCAACCTCCAGGCCCATATCTCCACTCCAGGCCCAGATCTCCACTCCAGGCCCAGATCTCCACTTCTAGGCCCATCACTCCATCTCTAGGCCCATAACTCCACTTCCAGGCCTATATCTCCAACTCTGGGCCCCGATCTCCATCCCCGCACTCCCTCCCTCGATTCCCTTCCAGGACTCACCAACACACGCCATGCTGACGACCATGAGCGACATGGTGCTGTCTGTGCAGACAGTCGGCCGCGCCCCAGCTCAGCTCAGCAGCGCACAGGATGTTATTTGGCGCCCTGCCCATGCAGTTTACATGTTGACCACATCATGGGAGGGTGACGTACGCAGGCTCTTTCTACCTTGCATGAGGCCCAGTGGGTGCTCGCTCAAGAGCGGAACACGGCTTCCTGGAAATTGTTCTCACTAGAATTGACACCTTGCGTCCTTCACTACGACCAGACTCAAAAGACGTCTCAGATCCAACCTCTCATACACGAGATGATTGAATTCTGTGCTTACATTAAAGATTTTTGATGTATTTTTGTTTTTATCTGAGATTCAAACTCTTCTTCATATGTAATGTGCAAAATGTCTAACAGGTATTATTAACATTATCAGAGTAATTGTGACAAGAAGCCATTCTAATTTTCCTGCTTGAGTTTCTAGTACTAAACCAGAGGCATCAGAATAGCTTGAACCTGGGAGACGGAGGTTGCAGTGAGCTGAGCTCAAGCCACTGAACTCCAGCTTGGGTGACAGAGGAAGAGTCTGTCTCAAGAAAAAAAAAAAAGCAAACTAAATAACCTATAATAACAAATCAGAGGACTCAGGTTACCAAATTTTAAGGGGTTCTATAAGTTTATATAAAATGCAGCATCCTCATGAGAGGGGATACAGAGAACCACTGGACAGAAAACTGTGTCTAAAATACATCTGTGGATACACAGTCCCTTTATAGTTGACAAAGGCTGCCATGTAGTTTAAGGTGGAATAGAATATTTTCTCAACAAATAACACAGGACCATAGGGTTACACGTAGGAAAAAATAAATCTAAACTTATCCTCACACTATAAAAACACTTCTTATTTTTTATCTTGTTGTTGTAAATTTTTTATGCTTTATTTTTAAGATTGACAAATAAAAATTATATACCATGGTCCTTCACTATACCTGCGTGATTGGTTCCAGGATCCCCATTCAGATACCAAAATCTGCAGATGCTCAAGCCCCTTGCATGAAATGGCATAGTGAAGCTGGGCACCGTGGCTCACGCCTGTAATCCCAGCACTTTGGGAGGCTGAGCTGGGTAGATCACAAGGTCAGGAGTTCAAGACCAGCTGGTCCAACATTCTGAAACCCCGTCTCTACTAAAAATATACACACAAAAAAATTTATCTGTGCAGGGTGGCACGTGCCTGTAATCCTAGGGGAGGCTACTGGGGAGGCTGAGGGAAGAGAATCGCTTGAACCTGGAAGGCGGAGGTTGCAGTGAGTTGAGATCACGCCACTGCACTCCAGCCTGGGTGAGAGAGTGAGACTGTCTCAAAAAAAAAATAGCATAGCAATTGCATAGAACCCATGCACATCCTCCTGTATACATGAAATCATCTCTTGATTACTTATAATTCCTGACACAGCCTACACGCCACTCAATTTGTGTCGATTCAACATAGTTTTTTGCTTTTTGAAACTTCGGGGATTTTTTTTCTCAAAATATTTTTGATTTATTGCTGATTCAATAAACATGTGTAAACCCCAGAGATATGGAGGAGTGACTGTCTATTTATAGTAGTATGAAAGATGATGTGTTGATATGTGTCCCTGTGGAGATGAGACTAACAAGGCCTATGACTCTACAAATGTTTCATCGTGGAATGACTCTGCCAGCTTTCCAGATCTGCAGAGAGTAAGAATATCACTTGTTCATCTGATTCACCATCCTTGGAACCTCCTATGTGCTGCATCTTTGGATGGAAATTGGAGTCTCAGAGACAATTCAGGCTCCACCCTGCTTCCAGAAGCTCAGAGTCCAGGGGTGAGAACCCAGCGGAGAACAGATGGGGTTATGTGGACGTGGTAATGATAACACCGGAAGCCTTAGTCAAGAAAAGAGTCCCATTGACGAAACCATGAGGGCAGACATGTTTACTTGAAGAATAGAAAACTACATTGAAATTATAAAAAAAATTTATAAGTTTTACTGCTGACAGAAGGCTGAAAGATAGTCTGAGGAAAGGTGGAACAACATGAGGAAAGGTGGAATAGCATGTATCTAAGTGCCGTGTTAAGAGGGAGCCTCTTATATGTTTGGAATTGTGAGTTCCTCAGTGTGATCGCAGCCTCAAGTAGACTAGGAAGTAAGCCAGTTAGGTTGGAGAGGTGGGCAGGGGTCAAGTGAAATGGAGAATTGTGGGCTAAGCAAAGGAGTGTGTTTTCTTTCCAGCAGGCAGTGGGGACCTAGACATTTGTAAGCAAGAGAGAGGCACCAGATTTGTGGCGTGAGGAGGAGCGATGCCCTAAGATGAAGACTCACGCCTTCAGATTCCAGCTGCTGGTACATGGGAGCTGGCAACCCGGTTTTGAGACAGGGCTGTTGTCTCCCTAGAAGATCCCATCAAGGCCTGACTGTGGTGCTGGTGGACAGAAGACAACTTTGGATCTGCGCTCAGCATTTGGAAGTTCCGTGTTACACGCTGGTATCTGTTGGGGGTGTCTTGGGCCTCTGAGAAGGGCGAGTGATTTTTCTCTGTGTGAAAACGCAGTGATTCAACTGTGCGTATGTCACCTCCTGAGGGTCTTGATCATCAGAGTCCTGGAGGGAGGGAAATGCTGAGTGAGGGAGGGTGCTCACATTTTTCAGGACTGTTTGGGAATAAGACTAGCCACGAGGCTGGGCTGAGGAGCACCTACCTCCCTGTTCACTGTTCTGTTCCCTGCAGGCTCTTGGTCCATTACAACAGCATCTGTAGAAGACGGAAGTCGTCAAAACAGCTCGGAGGGCACTTCTGGGTCCTCATTTCATAAGCAGATACCAACATACAGGGGGAGGCCATAGGTGCCTGAGGTCCCTCAGTTGCCAACAGCAGACTCAGACATTCTATCTCTCTGAGCTCAAGGACCCATCCCATGAATAGCTCTGAGTTCCCATCCCATTGATTCTGTCTCCCACTTTCTGCCTGTCATGGAACCTTCTCCTGGATGTGAGTGGCTGCAGGGGACATGAGGATACAGTTCAGAATCAGGCAATGGTCTGTGAGCTGAAGGCAGGGGCAGGGAGTCTGGTGCTCTCTCTAGAAAGTCCTGCCTCTGTGGCTCCTGCCTTGGGCCAGGGACCATCCTGCCTGTAAGGAACACACACCTGAGTGCTCCCATCCTGCTTCCCCACATGGCCCTGAGCTCTCTGGCTTCTGCTTCGTGAGACTTACTCTTTTTGTTGGGACACCAGCGATGAAGGAGAAAGAAGAGGAGGATAGCAAAGGGGATGATGACCACTGAGGTCCCAATCAGAACGTGCAGGTGTCTGGAGTTACCTGGAGGAAGACAAGACACCAATAAGAAGCTAATCATAGCAGTTCCTCTATATGAATTGTCTCACATTTCTTGATTGACAGGTAACCACATACAACGTCTCTTTAGGACAAGCACCCAGATGGCGGGAGACCTAGCTTCCTCCTGCTTTCTCAGTTGTAGTAACCATAGAACGTGCTGAGGATACAACTGCTTTAGTTTAGATGTTTGACCCCTTCAAACCTCACATTGAAATGTAACCCCCAGGGTGGGAGGTTGGGCCTCTTGGGAGTTGTTTGGGTCATGGAGGTGGATCCATCATGAACAGATCAATGCTGTCCCAAGGAGACGGGGTTAGCAAGTTCCCCCTCTATTAGTTCCTGGAGAACTGGTTGTTAAAAAGAGCTTGGAAGCTCCATCGCTCCCCCTCCCCCTTGCTCCCTCTCTTGCCGTGTGATCTCTGTGGTCTCTGCACAGACAGACCCTCCTTCCCTTCTGCCAGAGTGGGAGCAGCCTGAGGCCGTCACAAGAAATAGATGCTGGTGCCATGCTTCAAGTACAGCCTGAAGAACTGTGAGGCAAACACATTTCTTTTCTTTAGAAGTTACCCAGGCTCAAGTGTTCCTTTAGAGCAACAAAAATGGACTAAGACAGCAACGTCCTGAGATCAGGAGGAACATCCCAGAACAGCCTGGGCTGTCTTCCTGTTCTTCCTGGAGGAGGATGTCATGCAGTGCTTTAGCTGAGTGCTTCCTGTGGCTCCAGGGTACAAAACCCAGGCTGGGCTGCTTTTTGATTTCCCCCAGATACACTGCATATGGGGTGACTCCACATGTCTCGAGCAGCTTTTCTGAGCCTTGAGGGACTGGCTCACATTGAAATGTAGGCTTCTGTTGTCACTCGCTGCTTATCTGTTAGTAATGAACCTGCCTGTGTAATGTGTTCTCTGTGTGTTCTGTCTCCCTGGAGTGACGGTGAGTGATAGGAATTGGTATAGGCCCAGGTGCATTCCAGGAGGTGTTTAGAATCTTCTCTGGGAAGACTGGATTGGGATTGATACACAGCGAATGTGCTTTACAGTTTCTACCACCACAACCCTCTTGACTCAAAAAAATTACATTCTCCAAGAAAAGAAAGAAAAAATGAAATCAAGATAAAAAAAGTGAAGTAGAACTGACTTAAATCAAACAGCCATGAAATAATGATGTAGCCCAGGAACAACATGCTACTTTTTGTGATCTGCTGAGACATAAATTAGGCTGCTATTCCACCCGAGAAGCACGGGGAAGGACCGCCCTCTCCGTCGTTTATTGTTTCAATACAGCCTGTCCTTCTGTGAGTTAGTACGAAATGTGACCAGGGGCTAGTGCTGGCACTGGTCTCTGAGTCCAAGATCTGAGCTCACTCCAAAGAGTATCAGTGTTTACCTCCCCATGATCTATCTGTATCTCCATAGGTGATTGGAAGTAGAGATGAATTGGGGGATTTGGGTGAAGGGGCAAGTTTTATGCCATGAACAGAGCACGTTCTCTATTCCAGGACCTGTGCTGGTGGGTTCAGGAGGCTTTCACATTTTCCATATGATCCCAAGCTCACAGAAAGCCAAATAAGGAAGAGGTTTAACCTGATTGTTTAATGGATAAGATAAAGGGTCAAAGAATTAAACACAGAGAAATAGAAAAATGATGGTTGGTATCCAGTTGCCTTTGTAATTTCTGTGTGTCATATTATAATTATGTATGTTTTATTTTTATTTTTTGAGACAGAGTCCCCCTGTGTCAGGCTGGAGTGCAGTGATGCGATCTCAGTTCAACCTCTGCCTCCAGGGTTGAAGCCATTCTTCTGCTTCAGCCTCCCCAGTCGCTGGGATTACAGGCAGGTGCCAATGCACCAGGCTAATTTTTGTATTTTTAGTACAGACGGGGTTTCACCATGTTGGCCAGGCTGGTCTCAAACTCCTACCCTTAAGTGATCTACCCGCCTTGGCCTCCCAAAGTGTTGGGTTACAGGTGTGAGCCCCCATCCACAGTCTTGTATATTATATTATACTAGGTCCCTTCATTTGCACCACCCCTCATGTGTCTATCGCTCCTCTGCCAGGTATTGATTTAGATGTAGAAAAAAAACACATCTCAGAAAGAAATTAATGAAACAAGGATTAAACTACTAGGAAAAATCAAACCCAGCAAGCCCTCCCTGCAAATGATTCTACCTCACAAGCATAGCTTATATCCATCTTTCATTCATTTAGTGTGTAAATCAACCCTACGTTTCACCAGTGGGGCGGGAATTGCCTTTTCCACGGTCTCCTAGATTCCAGTTACGCACCTGGGCCTCCCTTATTTTCATGTCGGTCACTGTTAATCAGGTAGGGATTCCTAGTTAGCTCTGAGTTGAATCCAAGGGCTGTGAGTATCAAAAACATGCTCCTTGTTCCTCCTTAGTTTCCTGTGTACCCAGTGTGCTCTCCATCTCTCTACAGTTGTCTTGTCATTCTCCCCATCTCATTCCCAGCATTTGAGGCAGAGCCTCTTCCTTGAACTAAGAATGTTTCCACCTTTGTGCCTTCACGGCTGAGAGCTCAGTGTGGAAAATCCTTCCGCCAATCTTCCAAGGGTTGAATCCATTTTTTCCATTAAGGTCACAAATATTATCTGATCAGTGAGACCTTCTCTGTCACCTGAAATTATATACTCAGCATTATCTATTACTTATTTTAAATCCTGGCTGGGCGCAGTAGCTCTCGCCTGTAATCTTTGCACTTAGGGACGCTAAGGCGGTGGGATCACTTGAGATTGGGAGTTTGAGACAGCCTGCACAACATGGTGAAACCTCATTTCTACTAAAAAATATACCAAAAAAATTAGCCGAGTGTGGTGGCGCACAGCTGTAATCCCAGCTACTCGGTAGGCTGAGGCAGGAGAATTGCATGAACCCAGGAGGCAGAGGTTGCAATGAGCTGAGATTGTGCTACTGCACTCCAGCCTGTGGAACAGAGAGAGACTCTACTCAAAAAAAAAAAAGAAAACAAAAAACACACACACACACAAAAAACCCCAGATTTGGTGCACAGATGCTTCCCAATGGATCATTCATTTATTGGTACCCTTGTGCATTCATTCTCTGCCCTCGCATTTACCCATCTGCAATATCAGCGTCCCAAGAGCAGAGGCCAAATGCATCCTGTTTACCATTTGTGGAAGGCAGGAGAATGCTGCCCCACCCCCAAAATGTCCCTGTCTTAGCCTCCATAGCTTGTGAATATGTTATTTTACAGGAAAGGAGGAATGAAGATTGCAGATGGCATTACGGTTGCTAATCAGCTGAACTTAAAAAGAGGGTACGCTGGATGATTTTAGGGAGATTGAGATGGATTATCTTGGTGACCCCAATAGAATCCCAAAGTCCTTAAAAGATGAGGAAGAAGGCAGAGCAGGATTCAGAGAAAAAGGTATGGGTAAAGAAGAAGAGTCTGAATGATGCCATGTGAGACGTGACCAGCCTTTGTGGGCTTTGAGGAAGGAGGAAGGAGGAAGGGGACCAGGGGCCCAGGAACGTGGGAGCCTCTAGGAGCTGGGAAACGTTAAGGAGCAGATTCTTGCTTGGAACCTTAAAAAGAAATCCAGCCTTACTGTCCCTTTGATATCAGCCCAGTGAAATGCAGTTCATACTTCTGAGTTACAGCACTGTGAGATAATTAAGAAAAACATGTTTTCATCCACGAAGCTTGTGGAAATTTGTTATGGCAACAATAGGAAAAGATTCCACACTGCACAGCCAGAGCATGGGGCATTGGCTGAACGAGTGAGTGAGTGGAAGTGTCGTGTGCATAAATAAGCTAAATTCTCTCTTACTGCACGTCTCTTGCTCTGCTGAGTCAACCAGGGTTGCATCTGGTACACTGCTGATACGAATGCAAATTAGTACAGCCATTACAGAGGAGAAGAGTATGGAAGTTCCTCAAAAAATAAAATGAGGTCGGGCACAGTGGTTCATGCCTGTAATCCCAGCACATTGGGAGGCCGAGGTGGGTAGGTCACTTGAGGTCAGGAGTTGAAGAGCAGCCTGGCCAATATAGCGAAACTCTGTCTCTACTAAAAATATAAAAATTAGCCGAGTGTGGTGGTGGGAGCCAGTAACCCAGCTACTTGGGAGGCTGAGGCTGGGGAATCTCTTGAATCCTGGAGGTGGAGGTTGCAGTGAGCCCAGATGGCACCACTGCACTCCAGCCTGGGCAACAAGAGTGAAACTGTCTAAAAAAAACAAAAACAAAAACAAAAACCATAAAACAAAATGTAAAAAGACACTTCCAGAGGATCTAGCAATTCCATGACTGGGTGTAAACCCAAAGGAAAGGACATCAGCGTATCGAAGTGACATCTGCACTCCCATGACTGTTCCAGCAGTGTTCACAGTAGCCAAGATGTGGATCAACCTACCTGCCCATCAGTGGGTGAATGGATGGAGAGAATGTGGTACACACACACAATAGGGACAACTCATCCATAGAAAGAGTAACATCCTGTCATTTACAGCCACATGAATGGAACTGGAGGTCATTACAAGTATTTCCATTTCTCACTCATATGCAGGAGCTAAAAGGTGGATCTCACAAAGGTAGAGAGTAGAATGGTGGCTACCAGAGGCCAGGAAGGGAAGGGTGGAGGGTAAAAAAAAAAGAATACTAATTAATTAATTAATTAATTTTGAGAGAGTGTCTCTCTCTGTTGCCCAGGCTGCAGTGCAGTGGCATGATCTCAGCTCACTGCAACCTCCGCCTCCTGCAATTAAGTGCAACTCCTGCCCAACCCTCCCAAGTAGCTGGGACTACAGGCATGTGCCACCATGCTCGGCTAATTATTATCATTATTATTATTATTTTGTATTTTTAGTACAGATGGATTTTCCCCATGTTGGCCAGGGTGGTCTTGAGCCCCTGATCTCAAATGATCCACCTGCCTTGGCCTCTCAAAGTGTTGGGATTACAACAGTGAGCCACCGTGCCCAGCCTATAAATGTATTTATGAACAGTAGACTTCACACTTAAAAATGGTAAAGGTGGTAAATTACATAGGTATATTTCACCTCAATAAATATTTCTTCAAACAAAAAGAAAAGGGTGTAGGCGTTGCTGGTGATGACATCTCTCTGTGGGTGACAGGCCAGGATGGGCTTCTGGGAAGTGGGTAAGGTTGAGGGGCTGAGAGAACCTCTGATCTCCCCAGGCAGAGCCCAGTCTCCCTCCTCTGGGTCTGTTCTGACCTCTTTCTCCATCTGCCTGGGTGCCTGGAACCCTGATCAAGGGCCTCCTTGCAGGCCATACAGGAGGGTTTGGAGGTGCCCTGTCTGCCATCCTGCCCCCTGACCCCGCCCTTACACCCATGCTGTGTGTTCTGTCTCGGCATCTGTCCATGCTTCTCTCCATCATCAGCAGGAAGCTCCTCAGCTATGGCTCTAGGATCACAAGACATGGGACAGGCATGGTGTTTTCTCACCTGTGACAGAAACGGGCAGTGGGTCACTCGGGTCTGACCACGCGTGGGGCAGGGCACGGAAAGAGCCGAAGCATCTGTAGTTCCCTCCGTGGGTCACAGGGCCCAGAGGGAAGTTGGCCTGGAATGTTCCATTGACCCTCAGCACCGCAGTGAGCCTAAGTTCACCGGCCTCTGCCTCCCTGGATAGATGGTAAATGTCAAACAAGCTCCGGGAGCTGCAGGACAAGGTCACATTCTCTCCTGCCTGAACCGTGGGGCCCGGCTGGGCTGAGAGAGAAGGTTTCCCATATAGACCTGGAAGGAGAAGAGGTGGTTTCCTCAGGGAGGTTCTTCGTTGTCACAGCTCTCCTCACACCTGAGCTGAGAACTCACTCCCCTGCTCTATGACTTAATGCTCTCTTTCTCTCTCTCACCCTCCACCCCCATCTCTCTTCATGTCTATTTCCTCCTTCCACCTTCTCTGTCTCTCTAGGTCTCTGACCTCACTTCTCCATCCCTAGCTATGTTTTCTTTTTTTGTACCATTTTATTCTCTCTGACCCTCCTTGGACTGGTTGACTTGATCTTCCTCTTTCTTTAATTCTGAGTCTCTCACTTTCTGTCTTGCTCATAACTTTCTGCATATTTCTATCTACTATCTATTGATCGATCTATCATTTATCTATGTATGTATCTATCATCTATCATCATCTGTGTATCTATGACCTATCTCTCTGTTATCTATCATCTATCAATCAATGTATGTATGTATGCATCTATCCATCTATCATCATGTGTTTATCTTTCTATCTCTCTATATCTATTTATATATCATCTGTCTGTCTTTCTACTTGTCTATCTATATCATCTATCAGTCATTCATCATCTATTTGTCTATCACCTGTCTCTCTATTATCTATCATCTACCTTTTATCTTTCATCTATCTATATCTATCTATCCATCTATCATCTGTCTCTCTCCATCTCCTTGTCTTTCTCTGCCTCTCAGTCTCTCTAGTTCCCTTTTGGAGTCTCTGCAATCCATCCCCACATCTTTATCTTTCCCTGTCTTTGTGCCCCTCCCTCAGGGCTCTGATTTTAGGGCTTTTCTCTGCTTCCTTCCATCATACGCTCCACTTCTCTGCCCTCTTTTTCTATCTCTTTATGTGTCTGTGAGTCTCTCAATTCCCTTCTTCTGGCTCATTCTGTGTGTGTGTTCATGTCTTTGCTTTTTGATTTCCCTGATTTCACTCCGTGTCTCTCTGTGGGCTTTTGTTCTCAGTAATCCTATAACATGTGGTGCTATTTGAATATGAGCCTCAGAATCCAGTATGGGGACTCCAGGAACTCACAACATACAGGGGTTGGTGTTCTGCTCCCTCACCTGGGGCCATGGTGTCCTGCGACGACGACAGCTCCACTGCACGGAAGGCAGAGGTTTAAGAATAAACACAGCATCTGTAGGTGCCACCAGCCTGGGGCCACACGGCCCAACTCAGGCCAGATAGATGTGTCTCTTTGGGTTCTCCTGGGAGAGAACACTTTGTAGAGGTAAAACAGAATGGAACCTTCTAACCTGTGCCTGGTCTCTGAACAAAGTCAGCATAGAAGGACACCTCTCTCTGGGATATATCTGTCTCTCTGTGTCTTCTTTACCTCTTTATCTCTTTTTCTAACACCTTGTATGGCCCCTGTGTCTGGCTTCTATGTTATGACATGAGGTCTGTACTTGTGTCTCCTGTTTCTCTGCCTTTGTTGGTACAGACCTCACCAAGTCACTTTCTCTCCATAGGAACCCCACACTCATCTTCCTCATGACCACCTGGGGCTTCCAGTCCTAGATCATTCACTCCATCTCCCAGCAAGGGTGAGAGGCAGGTCTGTATTCTCTCACCTACGACCACGATGTCCAGAGGGTCACTGGGAGCCGACAACTCATAGGGTAAGTGAGTGACAGAACCAAAGCATCTGTAGGTCCCTGCAAGGGCAGGTGTCATGGGACCCATGGAATAGTTGACCTGGGAACCCGCATCGTGGAGCTGTCCAATGAGGCGCAAGGGGTCCTCAGTGATCCCCTCTCTGTGCAGAAGGAAGCGCTCAAACCTGACATCTGACCAACATTGCAGGATGACCGTCTCTCCCGATTTCACCAGGAGACCTGGGTGGGCCAGGAGGGAAGGTTTTCTGTGGACTCCTAAGAAGAGAGGTTGTGAGTTCAGAAGGCGTCTCCCTTTCTCATCCCATTCATGGGACCTGAAATAAGTGAGGCTTCCCCTCCATGGTGTCTATCTCTCTCCTTCCTCTCTGTGTCTCCGTGTTCTTTTGTGCCCATAACCCCTGTTGCAGGTCCCTCCATCTGTCTCCCTCCCTCTTCCCTGTCTCTCTGTCTCTAGTAGCCCTGATTCCCTTCCCACTGTGCTCAGTGTCACCTCTTATGCTGTTGTATCTGTTTCCCACTAATCTCTTTCCTGGTGTTTATGTGGGGGTGGAAGAGGAACCATGACAGGCTGCATGTCCAGGCTCTTAGCAGCCTGAATCAATCTCTTTTGGACAGATTGGAAAGGCCGGCAGGAGGTACGAACTCATCAGTAAGGCAGGCATCAGTGTCCCTGTTCCTGATGGGGATTGGGAGCCTCTCCTTTCATGTCTGTGCCTTCTCCATGGCCCCAGCTTCCATAGGGTGGCCCCTGGTGCTGGTTCCAGGAGCATCAACCCCTCCCTATGTGGATCGAGCCTGGTGGTAGCATCAGTATCCCACCCATGCTAAAATCAGTGTAGCCAACCTTCTCCTTGTTTGGTTTCTTAACCTGTGCTTCACCTGGGTTCCTGTGTTGGTTTCCTGTTGCTGCTGGAGAAAATTGTCACAAACATGGGGCAGGAGAGAATACAATGACCTCTTCCACTTCTGGAGAACAGAAATCGGACCCAGTTCTCTCTGGGCTAAAATCAAGGCATCTGCAGGGCTGTGTTTCCTCTGGAGACTCAGGGAAGAATCAGTTCCCTTGACTTCTCCAGCCCTTAGAGGCCACCTGCCTTTGTGGCTCATGGCCTTCCCCCATCTTCAAAGCCCGCTGTGGCTGATGGAGTCTCCCTCCCACGACGTTGCTCTAACCCCACTTTCCTCTTCCTCCTCCTCTCATGAGGACCCTTGTGATTACTCTGAGCACAGCAGGACAGTCCAGGCTGTCTCCCCATCGCAAGGTCAACTCATCAACAACCTGAGCTCCATCTTCCTCTTCAGTCCCCTGCCCTATAACATAAATAGTCACAGGGTTCATGGATTACCATGTAGCCATCACTGGGGACAATTATTCTTCCCACCACAGCAACTATTTCTCTGTACTGAATCCCCCTTTACCCCAAATACAGTCGGGGCCTGGATGATTGGACCCTGATGGACGCCCCCACCAGAAGCTCTGGGATTCAGGAGGTGGGACAGTGAGAAGCCCAGACAGAAAGCCTCTGACCTGTGACCATGATCACCACAGGGTTGCTGGGTGCCGACCACCCAGTGGGGGAGTGTGGGTGTGAACTGCAACATCTGTAGGTCCCTGCATGTGCTGGGGTCACAGGGCCCATGAGAAAGCTGTTCCGGAATATTCTGTTGTAGAGCTCAGGGACAGGCATCCCGTCTTCTTTGGACAGACTGAATTCATTAAACCCAAGACGAGAGCGACACTGAAGAGTCACATGTTGTCCTTCAGACACCACAGTGCCGGGCCAGGCAGAGAGGAAGGGCTTGTCCTGACCACCTGGGGGAGAAGGAGGCACCACCTTAGAGAGGAGGATGTGGAGCCGCCCCTCCCTCCCTGTGCTCAGAAGATTCTCCCATTTCCACGTTTCTAAGGCTCCTACCACACCTGGGTGCCCAGGGCTACAGGAAGGACCCATCCCGCATAGACATGGCGTCTCCCTACAGCAAGTGTCAGCTGAGAACTTTGAGCAGGTGCTGAAGAAGCGACTCTTACTAGATTTTAACACTGCAAAATTACTTACATAAAAGAACACAAGGTAGACACAGGATGGAGGGCATGATCAGCTAATGCATGAACCATAATAAACAACTGAGCCCCTATTAGAAGATCTGGAATGTCAGGGTCATGACTGTGGTTCCCCCACCTCTTAGGTAGAATGACAGCAGCCACATTGCAGCCCCTACCGTCATGGAAACGCTGGAGGGTGTGAGTTATGCTCTTGTCCTCAGAGGCCTGTTGTTCCTTGCACTGCTTCTCTCCCTTCCTCTGCCGGTGACACCACTTCCTCCCTGCACACCACTCCTTTGAGCACTTCAGTCTCCCCCTGGGTCCCCACAGACTCAGCCAAGGGAAAGAAAGGCCGGGGAGGGCTAGGACAGAACTGTGGCGAAGCTTCCCCTGGCTTCCTTTTCCTAGTTCATGAGAGATTCCCACATGGCTTCCCATGGTCAGCCCATCAGTCAACCCCCTGTGTCGCCTGCCTCCCGTTTCAGGAGCATCATCTTATGTGGGGAGATGACAACCTAAGGTTTGGGGGAAGGACTCACCCACATGTGGCCAGGGCCCCTCCAGCAAGAAGAACCCTGGAAAGAAAGATCATGATGGATGATCCATCTGTACATCACCTCCAGGCCCATATCTCCACTCCAGGCCCATATCTCCACCTCTAGGCCCATATCTCCACTCCAGGCCTATATCTCCACCTCCGTCCTATATCTCTACTCCAGGCCCATATCTCCACTCCAGGCCTATATCTCCACCTCCGTCCTATATCTCTACTCCAGGCCCATATCTACACTCCAGGCCCATATCTCCACCTCCAGGCCTGTATCTCCACCTCCAGGCCCGTGTCTCCATTCCAGGCCCATATCTGCACTCCAAGCCAACATCTCCACTCCAGGCCCGTATCTCTACTCCAGGCCCATATCTACAGTTCCAGGCCCATATCTCCACCTCCAGGCCCATATCTCCACTCTAGGCCCATATCTCCACCTCCAGGCCCGTATCTCAATTCCAGGTCCATATCTGCACTCCAAGCCAATATCTCCACTCCAGGCCCATATCTACAGTTCCAGGCCCATATCTCTACTCCAGGCCCATATCTCTACTTCAGGCCCATATCTACAGTTCCAGGCCCATATCTCCACTCCAGGCCCATATCTCCACCCCAGGCCCATATCTCCACTCCAGGCCTATATCTCCACTCCAGGCCCATATCTCCACTCCAGGCCCAGATCTCCACTCCAGGCCCAGATCTCCACCCCAGCGCTCCCTCCCTCGATTCCCTTCCAGGACTCACCAACACACGCCATGCTGACGACCATGAGCGACATGGTGCTGCCGGTGCAGACAGGCGGCTGCGCCCCAGCTCAGTTCAGCAGCACACAGGATGTTGTGAGGGGCTCATGCAGTTTACATGCTGACCACATCATGGGAGGATGACGTATGCAGGCTATTTCTACCTTGCATGAGGCCCAGTGGCTGTTTGGTCAAGAGCGGAACATGGCTTCCTGGAAATTGTTCCAACTAGAATTGACACCTTGCATCCTTCACTATAACCAACTCAAAACACGTCTCAGATCCAATCTCTCATACAGGAGATGACTGAATGCTTGGCTTACATTAAAGACTTTTGATGTATTTTTGTTGTTTTTATCTGAGATTCAAACTCTTCTTCATGTGCTATTTTCCCCAGGCTGTTCTTTGACTTCAGAGTTCAAGCAATCCTCCTGCCCCAGCATTTCTAGCAGCTGGCAGTATGTCACAATCTGCCACACCCAAGTCACAACTTTTAGAACTTTTTTTTTTTTTGAGACGCAATCTCACTTCGTCACCCAGTTTGGAATGCAGTGGTGAGACCTCGGCTCATTGCAGCCTCCACCTCCCAGGTTCACGCAATTCTCGTGCCTCAGCCTCCTAAGTAGCTGGATTTACAGGCACCCACCATCACGCCCACCTAATTTTTGTACTTTTAGTAGAGAGGAGGTTTCTCCATGTTGGCCAGGCTGGTCTTGAACTCCTAACCTCAAGTGATCTGTCTACTTCAGCCTCCCAAAGTGCTGAGATTACAGGTGTGAGCCACCATGCCTGGCCGGGACATTCTATATGTGTGCGTATGTGTGCGTTTATATACATATGGTTATACACACACACACACACACACACCCTAAGCACTCACATATATAGTTGTTTCAAATTTTAAAAAATATAAATTTTGTATTTTTCTTTCTTTTTCTCACATTTGTGTTTCTATGACACCATATACATATTGAATTTTATAGTTCTATTTTATTCTTTTGGATTGCAGTTTAATAGTCCATACATAACTTTATCAACATGTAATTATCCACTCTTTTTATCATGGACATTTGTGTTGTTTCCGGATTTTCTCTTTTATAACTCGGGCCTTGATAATCGTGTTTCTGTGTGATCCCTTGCATACATATGCTGAATTAATTAGACATATTTACCTAGGAATGAAATTATTGGTTTTGGGTGCAAGTTGGTGTTGAGCTTAACCAGGAAGTGCCAAAATATTTCCATCATGACCAAATGTGGCCTGGAAAGTTTTTTGGGGTCAATTTTCCTGTTTCTTCTAAGGAACAAAATTGATGTCACTGATTTTTCTGTCCTGTTTGTCATTTATGAATATACGTACATATGCACGTATATATTTGCTTGCCATTTTATGTTTTTCCTCGACGTTACTTTGGAATTAATTTGCTGATGTGTAGTATTTCTGCAAGCGAAAGTTACCTATTTACTCAGCTCTTCCTTCTTTTCTAACACAGACATTTGAGGCTTATTTTCCTTTAACACTGTTCTATCTGTATCCCCAGTCATTTGCCGAGATGTGTTTTCATTTTTAATTGATACAAAATATTTTCCACCTTTCTTTGAAATGTTTTTCTTCCACTCATTGTTTATTGCTATGTGTGTTTATTAATTTTAAAATATTTGATAATTTCCCCAGCATTTCCTTGTTGTACATTTATAATTTAATTCAACTGTTTCATCTATCATATTACCTATGATTCAGCATTTAAAAATTTATTTTGGTGAATGTTCCAGGGGTGCTAGACAAGTTTGTGGATTAGGAAGATTTGAGGTGGATGTTTTCTAAATGTCAGTTAAGAAAAAAATCATTCAAATGTTTTTCTTTATTTAAAAAAAATAGAGACGGGGTCTCACTATGGTGCCCAGGCTGGTCTCAAACTCCTGGCCTCAAGTGATCCTCCCATTTTGGCCTCCCAAAGTGCTAGGATTATTGAAATTATTAAATGTTTCATATCAACACCCAACCTTATGCACCCGCCGCCTACACAAATGTTTTTCAAGTCTTTCATATGCTTAATAATTTTCTGTGTACTTGTTCTGGAAGTGAGGTGAATGTTGCTATCTCTAGCTGCAATTTGGATGTGATTGATTATGTTTTGAATTATGCCTTTAATTTAATGTGTTTTGAGGTTCCAGCTTTAGGTGTGTAGGCATTTAGGATTATTATGTCTTATTTATGAATTTGCCTCTTTGTCATTATGAAGTACTCCTCTTCATATCTCCATATATCTCTTCTTTGTATGTGCATGGTGAAATATTTCATTCTTTGAGTTAAGAAACTTCTATTGAGGAATACTTTTTATTACAAACATTTACCTATTCTATGTATACAACTGACTAGAAGCATATTTTGCACTGGGCATTATCATGACAATGTAATGTCATTCTTTCAATATTTACATCTTGTGGATTAGTATTTGAAGTGCAGCTTATGTAGACAGCATAAGGTTGGGTGTTGATATGAAACATTTAATAATTGCACACGTATTTGCCTCTTGGGATACTTCCACTTTTTTGAATTTCAAGTTACTAAATGGTATCATTAATCTTTGCTTCAAGAGCTTAACATTTATTGTAGAACAATGCTTCATGTAATAAATTGTGAGACATTTTTAATGGCACCTTTATTGCAGGAAAATGTTTTCCTTTTCAGGTTGAAAGATTCTAGTTTGAAATATTTTCTTGTAGCACTTTAAAAATGTTGGTCCACCTATTTCTTACTTTCATAGTTTTGAATACAAAGTTTGCTGTCATTCTTGTATTTCTTCTTCTGTTTTTTATTTATTTATTTTTGACAGAATATCTTGCCGTCTCACCCAGGCTGGAGTGCAGTGGCATGATCTTGGCTCACTGCAACCTCTGCCTTCCAGGTTTCAGCAATTCCTGCCTCAGCCTCCTGAGTAGCTGGGACTACAGGCATGCGCCACCATACCCAGCCAATTTTTTTTTTTGTATTTTTTTTTTGTAGAGATGAAGTTTTGCCATATTGGCCAGAACTCCTGACCTCAAATGATCCACCTGCTTTGGCCTCCCAAAGTGCTGGGATTACAGGTGTGAGCCACTGTGCTCAGGCTATTTATTCCTTTTTATATAATATGAATTCACATTCATACATACCAGGGGTTAGGATTTCAACAAACGTTTCTGGGGGAGACCACTCAAAACACAGCACTCATCCTTGGTTATTTCCAGCCATGGAGCCTGTATCAATATCCTGGTGAATTATCTAAGCTGTCCACCTACCTACCCCAAATCCTCATGGTCACATAAAAGGCTAGTATAGTATAATAATTTTTCTTTCCCTGCTTATCTACAGTGATGAAGAAACGAATATTCAAAGGGAAAAATCTTAGCTTTAGGTATAGGGTAATTCTTCTTCCTATTTTTAAATAACTTCAACCTTTACTGTAGATTAAAGGTATGCATGCAGGTTTGTTACATAGGCATATTGTGTGACTCTGAGGTTTGTGGTTCCAACAATGCCATCACCCAGGCAATGAGCATAGAATCCAACAGGTGTTTCTTCAGCCTATACCTCCCTACTCCTCCCCCCATCTGTAGTCCTCGGTATCTGTTGTTTCCATCTTTATGTTCATGTGTATTCAATGTTTGGTTCTCAGTTATAAGTGATAACATGTGGTATTTGGTTTTCTGTTCCTGGGTTAGTTCACTTAGGAGATTGACCTCCTGCTACATTCATGTTGCTGCAAAGGACATGATTTCATTATTTTTTATGGCCATGTAATGTTCCATGTGTATATGTAGCACATTTTCTTTAACTAATCCACTGTTGGTGAGCACTTAGGTTGACTGCAAATCTTTGCTATTCTGAATTGCACAGCAATGAATATACTAGTGCATGTGTCTTTTTGACATAGTTAATTACCTTCCTTTTGGTATATACCCAGTAGTGGGATTGCTTGATTGAATAGTAGTTCTATTTTAAGTTATTTGAGAAGTCTCCAAACTGCTTATCACATTGGCTGAACTAGTTAACATTCCCACCAAGAGTGTATAAGTGTTCCCTTTTCTCCACAATCTTGTCAGCATCTGTTATTAAAAAAAACAAAAAACTTTTTAGTAATTGCTTCTGCTTCTCTGATTGTTGTGAGATGGTATCTCACTGTGGTTTTAATTTGCATTTCTCTGATGATTACTGATAATAAGCATTTGTTCATATGTTTTTTGGCCATGTGTACATCTTCTTTTGAGAAGTGTCTGTTCATGTCATACTTAATTGAGGTTTTTTGGTTTTCTGCTTGTTGATTTGTTTACATTCCTTATAGATTCTGGATATTAGAACTTTGTCAGATGCATAGTTTGCAAATATTTTCTCCCAGTCTGTAGGTTATCTGTTTACTCTGTTGATACTTTCGTTTGCTGTGCAGAAGCTCTTCAGTTGAGTTAGGTCCCAATTTCTGTCTTTGTCACAATTGGTTTTGGGGAGTTAGCCATAAATTCTTTGCCAAAGTCTATCTTGAGAAGGATATTTCCTAGGTTTTCTTCTAGAATTTTAATATTTTGAGGTTTTACATTTAAATCTTTAAACTATCTTGGGTTAATTTTTGTATATAGTGAGAGTTAGGGGTCCAGTTCTATTATTTTGCATATGAGTAGTCAGTTATCCCAGAACTATTTATTGAAGAAAGGGTACTTTCCACATTGCTTGTTTTTGTCAATTTTTTCAAAGATGATTGTAGGTATGTAGCCTCATTTCTGGGTTCTCTATTCTGTCTCATTGGTCTATGTGTCTGTTTTTGTAGTAGTATCATGCTGTTTGGGTTACTATAGCATTGTAGTATAGTTTGAAGTTGGGTAATGTGATGCCTGGGCTTTGTTCTTTGTGCTTAGGATTCCTATGTGTATTCAGGCTCTTTTTTTGGTGCCAAATACATTTTAGAATAAATTTTTATAATTTCGTGAAAAATGACATTGCATTTTGAAATGGATAGCATTGAGTCTGCAATTTGTTTTTGGAAGTATGGCGATTTTAACTATTTGTTCTCCTAATTCATGAGCATGGAATATTCTTCCATTTGTTTGTATCATTTCTTATTTCTTTCAGAAGTGTTTTGTAGTTCTCCTTGTAGAGAATTTTCACCTTCTTGGTTAGATGGATTCCTAGGTATTTTATTTTCTTTGTGGCTAGTGTAAATGGAATTGTGTTCTTGATTTAGTTCTCAGCTAGAATGTTAGTGGTGCATAGAAATGTTACTAATTTGTGTACATTTTTTTAATCCCGAAACTTTATTGAATTTGTTTATCAGTTTCAGGAGCCTTCTGACAGAGTCTTTAGGGTTTTCTATGTATAAAATTATTTCATCAGCAAAGAGAGACAGTATCACTACTTCTTTTCCAATTTTAATGCCTTTTATTTCCTTCTCTTGCCTGATTGCTTTGGCTAGGACTTCCAGTACCATGTTGAATTAAAATGGCGGGAGTGGTCATCCTGGTCTTGTTTCGGTTCTCAAGGGGTATGGTTCCAGCTTTTGCCCATCAATATGATGTTGGCTGTGGGTTTGTCATAGATGGCTCTTAATATTTTGAGGTATGTTCCTTTGATGCCTATTGACAGTTTTTATCATGAAGGGATGTTGGATTTTACAGAAAGCTTTTTCTGCATCTATTGAGATGATCATATAGTTTTTGTTTTTAATTATGTTTATGAGGTGAATCACATTCGTTGACTTTGTAGGTTGAACCAACCTTGCATCCCAAAAATAAAGCTTACTTGATCATGTGAATTAACTTTTGATGCACTGACAGATTCAATTTGCTAGCATTTTGTTGAGGATTTTATGTCTATGTTCATTAAGGATATTTAGTTGTAGTTTTCTTTTTTTCATTATGTCTCTGACAGATGTTGGTATCATGGTGATGATGGCTTCATAGAATGAGTTAGGAAGAAGCCCCCACTCCTTGATTTTTTCCAAAAGTTTCAGTAAGATCGGTATCAGTTCTTCTTTGTATGGCTGTTGGATTTTGGCTGTGAATCCATCTGGTCCTGGGCTATTTTTAGTTAGTAGGGTTTTTATTACTGATTAAATTTCTGAACTTGTTATTGGTCTGTTCAGGTTTTCACTTTCTTCCTGGTTGAAATATGATAAATTTTGTGTTACCAGGAATTTATCCATTTCTTCTAGGTTTTCTAGCTTGTTTGTATAGAGGTGTTCATAATAGTCTTTGACGATCTTTTCTATTTCTGTGGGATTGTTCGTAACATTGTTTTGTCAGTTCTATTTGTGTTTATTTGGATCTTTTCTCTTTTTCTTTGTTAATCTAGCTAACAGTCTATGAATTTTGTTTATTTTTTTTCAAAGAAAAACTCTTGGTTTTATTTATCTCTTGTATGGACTTTTTGGTCTCAATTTATTCAGTTCTCTCTGACTTTAGTTATTTCTCATCTTTTGCTGGCCTTGGGTTTGGACTGTTCCTTTTTTTTAATAGTTCCTCTAGATGCAGTGTTAAGTCACTAATTTGAGATCTTTCTAAACTTCTGATGAGGCATGTATTGCTATAAATTTTCCTCTTATCACTGCTTTAACTGCATCCCAAAGGTTTTGGTAAGTTTGTTTCTATTTTTATTAATTTTAAATAATGTTTTGTGATTTCTGCTTTAATTTCATTGTTCACCCAAGAGTTCTCAAGGGGTACAGTTCCAGCTTTTGACCATTCAATATGATGTTGGCTGTGGATTTGTCATAGATGGCTCTTAATATTCATTCAGAAACAAGTTGTTAAATTTCCATGTTTTTCTGTAGTTTTGAGAGATCATCTTGGTATTTTTTTCTATTTTTATTGTGTGCCTTGTTATGATTTTGATTCTTTGAATTTATTGAGACTTGCTTTGTGGCCAGTCTTAGAATATGATATGTTTTTTGTGTGTGCAGATAAGAAGAATCTATATTCTGCAGTTGTTGGGTGGAGTACTCTGTAGATGTCTATGAGGTCCAATTGGTCAAGTGTTGTCTTTAAGACCAGAATTTCTTTGTTAGTTTTCTGTTTTAGTGATTCATCTGACGTTGTTAGTGGGATACTGAAGTCCCTTACTATTATTGTGTGGCTGTCTAACTCTTTTCATAGGTGAAGAATAACTTGTTTTATGAATCGGGGTGCTCCAAATTTGGGTGCATATATATTTAGAATAGTTAAGTCTTCTGTCAAATTGAACCCTTTATCATTTTGTAATGCCCTTCTTTGTCCTTCCTGATTGCTGTTGATTTAAAGTGTGTTTCATGTGATATAAGAATAGGAATGCCTTCCTTTTTTTTGTTTCCTGGTTGCCTAGTAAATATTTCTTCATCCTTTTACTTTGAGCCTGTGGGTGTCATTACATGTGAGATGGGTCTCTTGAAGACAGCAGGCAGTTGGCTCTTGGCTTTTTATCCACGTTGCCACTCTATGCCTTTTATGTGGGGAATTTAGGCCATTTACATTTCTTCTCCTGATATATCCTTTTTATATTTTTATGATTGCCTTTTAAAATATATTGAATGGTTGTAATTCCAGGGAAATGTCTTTCAGAACAGTATTTATTCCCATCTACATGTTTTGGAGAGTGCACTAGGGGACATTGAAGTTTATTTCCTGAAAAGAGTTTAATTTTAAAATGTATTTTATTTAATAACTCAATGATTCAGGGAATGTCTAGGTATTTCAGAGATTGTTTTAGACAGTTTGTTTTCTTGTGATATGTGACCACTTCATCTAAGCTGAATAATGTCTTCATAATGTCCACTTAGAATCTTTTGAATTCTGTAGGATCTGTACTGATGTCATTGTTTCCTTTCTGATATTGGTAATTTTCCTGGGGTAGGATTCTTAGCTCCTCCTGAGGTCCTGCCTCTAAAATTCAGGGAACAATGAGTCAGATTAGTACTCTGATTTCAAAGGGAAAGCTGATCATCTACCATTTTTTGTTTATGTAAATGGACACATTAACATCCCTTGTCTGAACCTTAGTTACCTTGTTTGGAGCATTTTGCTATAAATCTCACTTCTCAGAGTGGTTGTGGGGCTTGATGTGGCTGGGGTATGGGATGGCTTAAACATAATTTATTTCCAGACCAGGTTAAGGCATGAAGGGGTTGGGACTTGTTAGAATCCTGTTGTCGGACTCCACAGTAAGGGTAGACATTTGAGGCACCCAATCAAAAACCTCAGTTGTTCCTAGCACTGAGAAATTTGATAGAATGTTTCTAAAACATTATTCATGGTCTAATGCACAAAAAGTAAAGTGATAGCCCTGGAAGTAGACAGGGAACCATAAGAAAAAAGAGAGAGCAAAGCTCAGTGGTCACCAGTGCCTGGGACCATCAAGGGGTTATTAAGGAGGAAGTTTCCACCTCTGTGGGGAACAGAAGAGGCTCCCTAGGGTCCACACACACAGGGAGTGAGCCAAGACTCTGGGCGAGGCTGGAAGCTCTGGGTCTCCTTCTGTGAGATTTTCTTTTTTTTTTTTGAGATGGAGTCTTGCTCTGCCACCCAGGCTAGAGTGCAACGGCGCGATCTCGGCTCATGGCAACCTCTGCATAAAGTGGTATGTATTTAAGGCATGCATTAGACAAATTACTAAGTATTTACTAGATAAGAAAAAATTATATCTGAATCTTTTCAAATTGCCGTCTTATGCATTATATTCTCTTTTTATAGTGCAATTTCTTAATAGTTAATGCCAGAAGATTTTTTTTTCTTCCTTTCTTTCTTTCTTTTTTTTTTTTTTTTGAGACAGAGTCTCACTCTGTTGCCAGGCTGGAGTGCAGTGGCACGATCTCGGCTCACTGCAACCTCCGTCTCTCGGGTTCATGCCATTCTCCCGCCTCAGCCTCCTGAGAAGCTGGGACTACAGGCACCCTCTACCATGCCCAGCTATTTTTTTTTTTTTTTTTGTATTTTTAGTAGAGACGGGGTTTCACCATGTTCGCCAGGATGATCTCTGTCTCTTGAACTCGTGATCCACCTGCCTTGGCTTCCCAAAGTGCTGGGATTACAGGCATGAGCCACTGCACCTGGTCGCCAAAAGATATTTTTAAAAACCTAAATGCCACTTGAAATGAATAAGACCCTCAATAATTCATGGGATATACATGTGAACTTATGACATATGATGAAATAAGCAGGTTACAAAATTGTAATATATCAAGCAAGGTAGAAAGCCATGGCAGAAAAAGAGACAAGCATTTTCAAGATAAGGAATGAAAGAGGGGAAACAGTACTATTGATTTTACAGATTTTACAAAGATATCTTAGGTGTGTTTTCCTAAATAATAAATGTACCCTCCTTTTGACCTTTATGTAATGAAATAACCATGCACACATTTTCAAATAATACTTCATTTACTTGACTTTATGCTTGAAAATTGAAGTATGGTGCTGTTTGTTATTTTCATTTATGCATTTTACTACCTTGTAATATTCCACTGAGTCTATTTACCACACTATGTTTATTTTTTTCGTAGGTGGACTTTGGTATTTTATAGCTTTGGCTAATAGGAACAGCATTCCTATAACAGTTGTGAGTGTATCATGACACATAAGTAGACATTTATCTCTAGGGTACATAATTAAGTACATAATTAAGAAGGGTCACAGCCATGTGCCTCCTCTTTTTAACTAGATAATTCCAATACACTTCCTTAATTGATTAAAGCAATTTGTACTCTTACTATTAATGTACTAAAATTCTACATGTTCAATATTCTTTCCAAAAAATGATTTTGCTACTTTTTTCTTTTCTTGAGACTGAGTCTTGCTCTATCACCCAGGCTGTAGTGATCTCGGCTCACTGCAACCTCCGCCTCCTGGGTTCATGCGATTCTCGTGCCTTGGCCTCCCAAGTAGCTGGGATTACAGGCAGGCGCCACCATGTCTGGCTAATTTTTGTATTTTTAGTAGAGACAGCGTTTCACCATGTTGGCCAGGCTGGTCTCGAACTCCTGACCTCAGGTGATCCTCCTGCCTCGGCCTCCCAAAGTGTTGGGATTACAGGCATGAGCCACCACACCCGGCCTATTTTTTTCTTTTCCCTCCATTGTGCTATGATTTTTGACATTACAATTTTACTGAAACTACACCATAAGAATGAAGCAGAAATTATTATAACCTTTAAATAAACTTTACAACTGGTTCATACTCGTGTGAACGACAATTCTTTTGACTACTTCCCAACTGTGCATTCAATGGCGTCATATGGGCACCCTGAAGTTGGCCATAAAGGACGTATTTATACCACACTAATCAGCAAATACCATAAATCTGGGGCTTTATATGTTCAGAGTTTTCTTAAGAAAATAATTTTTTCAGAGAGCCAGTTTAACAGAATACCATGAGGCTGAGCCTTCGAGCGTTAGTGTGCTCATTCTGAGAGATGATATTTCTGGACAAAGTACACAGGTATCATCCGATGAAGAGTGAAGGGAATTCAGGGTCCAGAGAGGGTGCTAGGGCATCATTTCAGACTCATATTTCCCTTTTTTTTTTTTTTTTTGGAGATGGAGTCTTGCTCTGTTGCCCAGGCTGGAGTGCAGTGGCAAGATCTTGGCTCACTGCAACCTCCGCCTCCCGGGTTCAAGCTATTCTCCCGCCTCAGCTTCCTGAGCAGCTGGGATTACAGGTGCTCACTGCCACACCCAGCTAATTTTTGTATCTTTTAGTAGAGACAGGGTTTCACCATGTTGGCCAGGTTGGTCTCGAACTTCTGACCTCAAGTGATCCGCCCACCTCAGCCTCCCAAAGTGCTGGGATTACAGGTGTGAGCCACTGTGCCTGGCCTCAGACTCATGTTTCAAAGTCCCAAATACAAATCTGCCCACCTATTCCAGTTATTTAATCCAGATCTATGCTCAGAACTGAAAAGATGGAGAATCAATAGTTCACTTTAGAGAATGCGGTAGTTGGAAACAAAGACAAATGTATTACATGACAGTGGACCAGAGCACGTGATCGCAGGGGTGTGGATGCAAACCCACCATGGGGGACGTGCCTTCACATCACAGAGAGCGAAAGGAAGGGAGGGGCAGACACGGAGGATCCACAACAGCAGGACTGAAAGCACTGCCATTTAATGGAAGTTTAATGGAGGAAGCGTTCTCTACAGGCACCCAGACATCTTCCTGAACCTGACCCAAGCCTCCCCTTCTCGACTTTCTCAGTAGACGGTTTCCCGAATGATGGTCCAGACTTTCTTCCAGAACCTCCTAGGACTATCAGATTCATTGCCAAGGCTCTGGCACTCTGAAGGGTGCATTGTTCTCTCATGTATTTACCTCCTTGCTGCATCTTGGGGACTTCTCTAGCTGTGCCAGTCCTAAAGCAGCAGAATCCCGAGGACCACCAGGACCAAGCCAGCCACAGCCACGCGGATGAGATTCTCCACTGTGTAATCCTGGGGGTGTGAGGCTGGGGATGGTGGACCAAGAGGTCTCAGAGGTCAGGGCAGATCAACATCACCCGGGACCCCTGGATGTCCACCCAGGGCACCCACCTCCCCTTCACAGGACCTGACCCTCTGTGCCAGCCCCATAACCGAGAGCATCTCCTTACACACCAGTCTTGGAGTCTGTCTTGTTTTGCGATGGGCTGAGGGTCTCAGCTGCTCCTGAGAATCAACCAAAAAAGGGGGAGGTGTGTGAGGAGTTGAAGAGACTTAAGCCAACATGTCCCTCAGTTGCTGCATTCCTTTGTGTCTACACTTCTCCTAACTGCTCTGTAGTTGTGTGATAGAACCTTTCCCTGCCGTGGCAGAGGTACATTCGCATACATACATACATATATGCATAGGTGTAAATATGTGTGTATACATAATATGTGTTATGCATATGTGTATACATAATATGTATTATGCATATGTGTATAGATAATATGTATTATGCATATGTGTATGCATAATATGTATTATAAGATATAGTGTGAGTATATATAAATATATAATATATAAGATATATAATAGTGTGTGTATACATATAAATATATAATAAGATATGTAATAGTGTGTGCATATATAAATATATAATATATAATAAGATATATAATAGTGTGTATATATAAATATATAATACATAATATATTATAAGATATATAATAGTATGTATATATAAATATATAATACATAATATATAAGATATATAATAGTGTGTGTATATATAAATATATAATACATTATATATTATAAGATATATAATAGTATATATAAATATATAGTACATAATATATAATAAGATATATAATAGTGTGTGTATACATATAAATATATAATAAGATATGTAATAGTGTGTGCATATATAAATATATAATATATAATAAGATATATAATAGTGTATATATATAAATATATAATACATAATATATTATAAGATATATAATAGTATGTATATATAAATATATAATACATAATATATAAGATATATAATAGTGTGTGTATATATAAATATATAATACATTATATATTATAAGATATATAATAGTATATATAAATATATAGTACATAATATATAATAAGATATATAATAGTGTGTGTATACATATAAATATATAATAAGATATGTAATAGTGTGTGCATATATAAATATATAATATATAATAAGATATATAATAGTGTATATATATAAATATATAATACATAATATATTATAAGATATATAATAGTATGTATATATAAATATATAATACATAATATATAAGATATATAATAGTGTGTGTATATATAAATATATAATACATTATATATTATAAGATATATAATAGTATATATAAATATATAATACATAATATATAATAAGATATATAATAGTGTGTGTATATATAAATATATAATACATAATATATATTATAAGATATAATAATGTGTGGGTAATATAAATATATAATACATAATATATAAGATATATAATAGTGCATATATAAATATATAATACATAATATATATTATAAGATATAATAATGTGTGGGTATATATAAATATATAATACATAATATATATTATAAGATATAATAATGTGTGGGTATATATAAATATATAATACATAATATATAAGATATATAATAGTGTATATATAAATATATAATACATAATATATATTATAAGATATATAATAGTGTGTGAGTATATATAAACACATACATATATATTTGAAGTGAGAAGAGTATTATATAATTTAGAAACAAACAAGTTTGTCCTCCATTTTCTTGTGGTTAATGTAATTATTATCAATAAATCAGAAGAGATCATTTCGGAAAGGATTGAAAGGGAGTGTGTCTGTGGTAAGTTAATAGGAACTAAAATTAGCATACCCAAACCAATAGCTTTCTCATCCATACGTAACTAATTTTAGAAAATAGAAAGGAATCAAAGACTTTCAAATTATTCAAGTAGTAAAACAATGCTTAAAATTCACAATGTCCACAATTTTTATGAATACAACTTCAAGCATCTGCTAACTGTATAAAGTTTAATTTTAAATGTATTGGATACAAAGACATTATTAATGAGAAGTTATTCTCCATCATGAATGCACATATTTAATTTAATCCCAAAGAAAATCAGAGCACAGTTATTTTACATCATAACGCTACCTAACAAATTAAATGTGTAAATTATAAATGCCAGCATTGCTTTGAAATCTTCAGAAACAGAAAGAGAAACTAGATATGTGGACATAAAAAATAAAGGACAGAAAGGAATTGCACACGAGGTTTGCTGTTGAATAATTTGCCTGCATTGCTGCAGTGAGCAGGTGCATGATCTCCCCTTCGTCTCAGGTATGCACTGAGTATTTTGGGGCCGCCAGGGGAGCCCAGGTGGGGAGTGGGTGGGGCCTCCATCTTCTACCCTCAGCCTAAGCATGATTCCTCCAAGGTTTCTCCATATCTCATTTCAGCCCTCCCTGGCCTTTAGCCCCATCTGAGGTCTCTGGGGTGGGAGCCCAGGATTAGGAGGTCCCTGACTATTTCCACCCTCTCATGGGCTGGGCCCTCCCCTGCCGACCCTCCCCCTTTACTCCCCTCTTTCCTTAGCGTCCTGAGCTCTCCTGGGGGCAGGGCCTGAGCTGAGGTTTGAGCTCAGAGAGGACAGGGTCAGCGGCCTCACCTGAGACCACGAGCTCCAGGGGGTCACTGGGGTGAGACAGCAGGTAGGGGAAGAATCTGCGTGAGCTGTAGCACCTGTAGGTCCCCGCGTGGGCTGAGGTCACAGGACTCATGGGGAATTCAGCCTGGTGCTGCTGAGCTTGGTGCTCTGATCTCAGACGCAGTGGGTGATGGGCTGCCCCCTCCTTGGTCAGAAGGAAAGTGTCCAACTGCTCCCGTGACTGACACAGCAGGGTCACGTTCTCTCCTGAGGCCACCGTGGGGCCCGGCTGCACCGAGAGGGAGGGTCTGCCACGGATCTGTCCTGGAGAGAAGAAGGATGGGTGAGGGGCTGCCCCACCTCGTTCTGAGCTGACACCTCCCCAGGCCTCTCCCTGGGACCCTCAGTGTCTCTGTCTCTGTTTTCTCTGAGTCTCCCCCTCCCCGCCCATCCCCTGTCTCTGTCTGTCTCTCCGTCCCTTAGGACCCCCACCCCTCATCCCGGCCATCACCACCTGGGCTCCCCCAGCAGGGCCTGTGCGGAGCCTGGGTCCCTGACTGAACCTGCTGGGCTCCTCACCTGCGATCAGGATGCTCAGGGGGTCACTGGGGGCCGACCACTCGGAGGAGAGGTTGTGTGCACCGTAGCATCTGTACTGGCCCCCGTGGGAGACCCTCACAGGGCCCAGGGTGAAGTTGGCCTGGGAGAGCCCAGCCTGGGGCTGCCGGCCAGAGCCCTGGACGAGGTCATGTCCCCCCTCCTTGTACAGAGTGAATTTGTCATAGCCGACATCAGAGCCACACTGGAGGGTCAGATTCTCCCCAGGGGCCACGACAGGGCCCTGCAGGGTCAGGAGGGAGGGCTTCCTAGACACGCCTGGAGGGAAAGAAGAGTCGGGACTAGGAGGGCTGGTTCCTCCCACACCCCTTCCTTCTCCCCTCCTGGCCCTGCAGGTCTCACTGTCTCTCACACTCAGTGTCTCTGGGCTCAGGAGTCCCAAACTTCCCTTGTTCCACCCTCCTACATGGGGCTCCGTGAGAGTAAGTTCTCAAAAATAAATAGGGCAAGGAGGAAGACATCCATACCTAAGACCAGGATCTCCATGGTATCACTGGGTTCCGACCACACCCAGGGGAAGTTCGTGTAATGCCCATAGCATCTGAACATCCACCGGTGACTGGCAGCCACACGGCCCACAGGGAACAGGGCCAGGGACAAGGGACAGCCCCTTGGAGAGTTCCTGTGAGTCCAGCATCCAGGAGAGCTTGTTTTCTCCTTCCTCAATCAAAATGAACCTGTGAAATCCCACCCTTGAGCTACACTGGATGGTCACGTTCTCTCCTGAGGTCACCACAGGGCTCGGCAGGGCTGAGAGAGTGGGTTTTCTGTGGGCTCCTAGGAGAGAAGGAGACACTGTCTTAAATGGGGCTCACGCGTCCCACATCATCCCCCAGGGCTGAGTTATTAGAACGGAGATGCCCTTGAGAGCTGACCCCCTTCCTGCAGGCAGAGCCTGGGGCTGGGACCCCTGAGTGTCCTCTTACCTGTCACCACCAGCTCCAGGGGCTCGCTGCGCTCTGACCAGCCTGCAGGGCTGAGATAGTGACAGTGGTATCTCCCTGCATGGTGCTCTCTCATGGATGGGATGAAGAAGTTGGTCTTGTTCCTGGGCTCTGGTGGGCTCTGTTGGTACCAGGTCATGGGGTTTCCTTCCTTGGTGAGATAGTAACCCTGGGTATCCAGGGTCCCCTGGCACCAGAGGGTCATGGGGCTCTCCCAGGTAATCACAGAGCCTGGCTCAGCCCAGAGGCTGGGTTTGGGGAGGGTCCCTGGAAGAAACCACAGGCTGGGGTCCACAGACCTCCCCCGCTCCTCATTCCCAGCTCAGGTCACAGACCCTCTTGATTTTCTCACCCTCAGTTCAGAAGCCCCTGAGATGAGAGTCCAGGTGCTGAGTGTGAGGTCAGGCATGGGAGGTTAGCAGAGACTCACCTGCAAGTGCTTGGGCTTTCTGGCCCAGACTCAGCCATGGAGAAGAGTTTCCTGTGGGGGATTTGGAACACAGAGGTGTGGCTGCTTCCCTTCCTGTTGGAGCACCAGTAGCCACTGGAGCCCTGAGGCTCTCTGGTGAACAAGGCTGCTGTGGGACCCTCCCCACCTCAGCCCAGTGCCCCTCCTGTCCCTCGTCTCTCCACCACTGACTGAGGCACAGAAGAACAGTGAGGATGGACACCATGATGCCTGCTCTGCGTGCTCCAGCTGTGGGACAGGTGACCACATGGCCCTCCATGACAGACAGATGCACGGATGTGGTTAAGTCAGAGCCTGCTGCCGCCTGCCTGGGTCCCCACAGCTGTGAACCCACAGGAAGTGGACAGCCCCTTGCTGGGCCTGTCTCTTATTCCCCCCCCAGTGCAGGGGCTCAGGAGGACCCAGGCCCTCTGCACACATCTCAGCCCAGACCTGAGGTGTCCCCTGATTGCCAGGGATCCTTTGTCTGAAAACCTGCCCGTGGAGGGTGGACCCAACATCATATCTATGTCAGCTCCCAACTTAGCTGGGTCTAAACTGAAAACACAGCCCTTATTTTCTCAGAGCCTCCACTCATGACATCGGCTTTCTTTTTCCCCACTGATGCAAAGACAAATATTTCCCAGCAGAAAGTCATCCTGATCTGGAGAGACCCATTTCCTGCGTTCAGTAAATAAAGTCAGTTTCATTAGGGGAGGCTCTGGGAAAATAAGGGGATGCAGACTAGCAGAAGATGAACATTTAGCTACTTGTTTCTCAATTAATTGATTTATTACCAAAGAGAGAGAAGTGGAAACATGAGAATAGGGACCATGACTAGAATGTGGTTGAGGGAATGGTTTCTATCTTATTCCCTGGCAGAGAACTAAGGGATAAGAATGAGAAAGCTGGCTGGGTGCAGTGGCTTACACCTGTAATCCCAGCACTTTGGGAGGCCGAGGCAGGAAGATCACAAGGTCAGGAGTTCAAGACCAGCCTGACCAACATGGTGAAACCCCTGTCTCTACTAAAAATACAAAAACTAGCTGGGTGTGCTGGCATGCGCCTGTAATCCCAGCTACTAGGGAGGCTGAGGTGGGAGAATCGCTTGAACCTGGGAGGTGGAGCTTGCAGTGAGCCGAGATCGCGCCACTGCACTCCAGCCTGGGCAACAAAGCCGGACTGTCTCAAAAAAAAAAAAAAAAAAAAAAAAAAAGAAAGAGAGAAAACCCAGCAGTGAGAGGTAGTTGTGAGAACACACTAAAGAGGAAAGATAATCCAGGGCTGGGAGTGGTGGCTCATGCCTGTAATTCCAGCACTTTGGGAGGCTGAGGCTGGCAGATCACAAGGTCAGGAGTTCGAGACCAGCCTGACCAACATGGTGAAACCCTGTGTCTACTAAAAATGCAAAAATTAGCTGGGTGTGGTGGTGGGTGCCTGTAATCCCAGCTACTCAGGAGGCTGAGGTGGGAGAATCGCTTGAACCCAGGAGACGGAGGTTGCAGTGAGCTGAGATTGCACCACTGCACTCCAGCATAGGCAACAAAGCCAGACTCTGCCAAAAACAAAAACAAAAACAAAAACAAAAACAAAAAACAAGAAAGCTCAGTGAGAGGTGGTTGTGAGAACACACTAAAGAGGAAAGATCATTCAGGGCTGGGAGTGGTGACTCACGCCTGTAATCCCAGCACTTTGGGGGGCCACAGGCGGGTGGATTACCTGAGGGCAGGAGTTCAAGACCAGTCTGGCCAACATGGTGAAACCTCGTCTCTACTAAAAATACAAAAACTAGCTGGGTGTGATGGCGGGTGCCTGTAATCCCAGCTACTTGAGAGGCTGAGTCAGGAGAATCTCTTGAACCCAGGAGGCAGAGGTTGCAGTGAGCTGGGATCGTGCCACTGTACTCTAGCCTGGGTAACAGAGCAAGGCTCTGTCTCAAAAAAATAAAAATTAGAAAGAAAAAAGGAGAAGGAGAAGAGGAAGGAGACAGAAAGGAGAGAAACATCCCTGAGGTGGAACATTACATGCAACATGGAGTAGGCAGGGAATCCGATAGAGCACTGAAACTCTCGCTGGGTACGGTGGCTAACATCTGTACTCCCAGCACTTTGGGTGGCCGAGGTGGATGGATCACCTGAGGTCAGGAGTTTAAGACCAGCCTGACCAACATGGTGAAACCCCATCTCTACTAAAAATACAAAAGGCTGGGTGTGGTGGCTCACGCCTGTAATCCCAACACTTTGGCAGTCTGATACAGGCGGATCACATGAGATCAGGAGTTTGAGACCAGCCTGGCCAAGATGGCAAAACCTCATCTCTACTAAAAATACAAACATTACCTGGCTGTGGTGGCAGTCGCCTGTAATCCCAGCTATGCAGGAGGCTGAGGCAGGAGAATCGCTTGAACCTGAGAGGTGGAGGTTGCAGTGAGTCAAGATCGTGCCATTGCACTCCAGCCTGGCCAATAGGAGCAAAACTCCATGTGAAAATAAAATAAAATAAAATAAAATATAATAAAATAAAATAATAAATCAAAAAAGGACTGGACATCTCCTGTGGGTTGTCAGTGAATGGAACTAAGCAAGCCACCGCTCTTTCCCTTTTGTCCCGCAAGTGTCTTTCTTGGCCTCCAGGAAGTGAGTTCCATCATGTCAGACCCTATGTTTGTTCCTGCTGGGTTCACTGAGGCTCCTCCCTTTCCACCTGTGGCTCCCCATGGGTTCCCAGTCCCCAGCCAGTGTTGTGAATCGAGCCAGGAAGACCAGCCCTATCACACCCCTCCTGATGGAATTCCCACAGTGTCATCCTGGAGAACAGGGGCTGGGGGCTGGGGTAGGATCAGAGACCTTTTCATGTGGGCCAGGCCCCTCCCTCCACAGGAGCTCTGACACGAAGCTCATCACCATTCATTTCACCCTGACGATATTCTTCCTGCCCAGACACCCCCGTTCTCCCTATGTCATCATGGGCACCTCAGTGAAATCCATGGTTGAGGGTCTCTGTCACTTACTCTGCCCTCTTCTTGGAAAATTTCCTTGGATCCTTCCAGAGCCCTTCCTGAGTGTGCTGCAGGGTCTCTGCCACATGACACACTCTCAGGAACCCTCATCCTCCCCTTAATCTACTGCGCCCACATAGCCAGGTGCAGGCTCCGTTTCTTCATCTTCCCTTCCCCACAGGCCCCGATGGAGAGTGGATTAGACTCGCTCCTGAGTAGGGACTCAGGTCACTCTGACCCCTTCCTCCCTGTGGACGAGGCCTCTGTCCCAGAGCTTTGGAGGCTGAAGGGCCTTGTGGATTCCCGCACTGGCCACAGTCTCCGATGCAGATGGGGAACTGGGGACCTGGGAGGGGTTGCCTAGCCCAAGGCCACATAGCTGGGCGGTGGCACAGCCTTCACTCACACAGGGACATTCCATCTTCCCAGGGACTTCACACTGGAGGCTAAGAGCCCCACTTTGCACACCACATTCAGGGGTAGATTCTGTGTGTGACTAACAAGTTCTCTTAGGGTTCCGAGGTAACAGGACAGCAAATGGATGAGTGAGAGTTTCCCTCACCCCACTGAAGTAGGACCATTCTCTGTGGAGGGTTGGTCCCCTGACTTCCTCTACTCTGTCATCTCCCTAGTGACTGATAGGGGTCCTGGGGTCTCTTCCCTGGAATCCCATGAGGGACAATTCCTTTCCTGAAGGGAAGGTATAGAGAGGACTAGCAGGTGCCTGGTGATGGAAAGTCCCCATAATCAAGAGACATTGCCTCCCCCCCCCGGCATGATAAATATCTGGGTTTCCAAATGGGAAATCTGTCTGTGATGAGAGCTCAGGAGGGGCTTCTGGAAGATGGAAAAGGGCTAGAGGCTGAGGCCACTGCTTATCTCCCCACACTGTATCTGGCTTCACCTCCTGTGTTTGTCCTGACCTCTTCCTTCACTCACCTGGATAAGTAGGACCCCAAAGTGGGCCTCCAGACAGGAAGCAGTGGAGAGTGTGGAGCTGCCCTGTCTACCACCCTACACCCTGACACCACTGTCATACTCAACCTCTCTTTTCCTCTTTGTGTTTCTCATTGCTTCATTTTGTCTGGAATCCCTAAGATTCCCATGTCTCCAGCAGGCTGTCCCTCAGACGTGGCTATATGATTTAGTGTTTCACAGGGCATGCAGCAGGCATGGGCTACCCCCAGTAACAGTGGTCATCTAGGGCTGATCACTCACAGGCAGAGCCATCGACAGAGAGCTGCAGCATCTAGAGGTCCCATCACCAGCCCCAAGACCCAGAGAGAAGTTGGCCTGAATGCCCCACTCTGTCTCTGCACCCCAGTGAGCCAGTGTCCAGGGGCCTTACCTTCCTCGTTAGAAGGCACAGGTCAAATGAGCTTCCAGAGCTGCAGAGCAAAGTCACATTCTCTCCATCATTACTTACTGCAGGGCACAGTTGAGCTGAGAAGGAAGGTCTCTTGTAGACGCCTGGGGAAAAAAATAGTCCTTGACTGTCGAGCACAAGCCTTACCCAGCCTATCCTCAGGGCATGAAAAAGGCATTCTCTCCACCTGTTCTGGGGAGCACACTCTGTTACCCACTCGTGCCTCTCTCCATCTCAGTTCTAGCTCTACAAGCTGGCTCATCATGTGTGTGTTTTCCTGTCTGTCTTTGCTCAGCTTTTCCTTGAATCTCTTGCTTTTTGCCGGTGCGTGTGTGGCTTTCTGCCCTTAGAACCATATGAGATTTAGGGTTCTCCTGGCACATAGAACTGTTTACTTTGAGGACCCTCAGAAAACATAGCCCTGGGCTAAGGCTCCCTGTCCTGGAACTAGAAGGTTATGGGTGTCACCATTTCCCAACAGCATGTCTGAAAGTGCCAGAATCTTCAAAGAGTCTGCAACATGTTTGTAGGATCTTTATAGGGTCTGATATTGCAGGGACCAACCAAAGTGCCCTCACACCCCAAGACGCTGGAAGTGACCCCTTGCTGAAAGTGGTTGGAAGTTTCACATAGAAGTTTGAGTTAAGCCACATTGCTGAGCAATGCCTCAGCATCCCAGTCTTCATCCAGACCTTCCAGGAGCCTGGCTGGAGGGGGTGTCTCTGGTGTGTCACTGAGCCTTATAGCAGAGGAAGGGGGCTATGGTGGAAACTACCTCCAAGATACCACTCAGTCCTAAGCTGGGGAACAAGCTGAGCTTGGATTCTGGTAGTGAATGAACCGGGAAACATTTATTTGAAGGGTTCTAAGAGTAGCATCGTGTGGGTGCGTTAATTGTATGTGAAGGGGAAGATCCTGAGAAAACAAGAGCTGCTCCACTCTGTGCCTGGGTTTACCAGAGGGACCGATGAGGTCCTCACAAGACCCAGGAATCCCACCGGGGGAAGGAGGCTTAGGGAGATGTGTTTAAGACTGTTAAGTGAGTCACAGACAGAAGCAGATCAAGCCATCCCACCACCTAGGTTTGTGGTTTTGTTTCTCCTAAACTTCCTTTCTGTAAGTAGCAGAACCTTCTCATCACCATCCTTCAAAACCTCTGCATTGTTTGAGCTCCTTGTATTTTCTGGAGATTAATCTCTTGCTTGCAAATATTCTTTCCCATTCTGTAGGTGGTCTCTTCACTCTGCTGTTTGTTTCCTTGATTGTGCAGAAGGTTTGCAGTTTGCTATGATCTCATTTGCCTATTTTTGCTTTTGCTGCCTGAGCTTTTGAGGGTTTTTTTTTTTTGTTTTTTTTTTTGAGACGGAGTCTCGCTCTGTCACCCAGGCTGGAGTTCAGTGGCATGATCTCAGCTCATTGCAACCTCCGCCTCCCGGGTTCAAGTGATTCTCCTGCCTCAGCCTCCCTAGTAGCTAGGACTACAGGCGAGTGCCACCACACCCGGCTAATTTTTGTATTTTTAGTAGAGGCAGGGTTTCACCACGTTTGGCCAGGCTGGTCTCAAACTCCTGACTTCAAGTGATCCACCCACCTTGGCCTCCCAAAGTGCTGGGATTACAGGCGTGAGCCACTGCGCCCGGCGTTGTATTGGATTTTTAATTCAGCCCTATTTTCTCCGACATTTGATATTGGCATTTTTGTCTTTTTTGGATATGCTAGGATCATGGTGTCATAATTTAATTTTAATTTTTATTTTTATTTTAAGTTCCGGGGTACATGTGCAGAATGTGTGGGCTTATTGCATAGGTCAATGTGCGCCATGGTGGTTTCCTGCACCTGTCAACCCATCACCTAGGTATTAAGCCCAGCATACATTAGCTATTTTTCCTAATGCTCTCCCTACCCCTACCCCACCCCCCCCCCGACAGGCCCCAGTGTGTGTTGTTCCCCTCCCTGTGTTCACGCATTCTCATTGTTCAGCACCCACTTGTAAGTGAGAACATGCAGCGTTTGATTTCCTGTTCCTGTGTTAGTTTCCTGAGGATAATGGTTTCCAGCTCCATCCATGTCCCTGCAAAGGACATGATCTTGTTTCTTTTTATGGCTTCATAGTATTCCGTGGTGTATATGTCTCACATTTTCTTTATCCAGTCTATCATTGATGGGCATTTGGGTTGATTCTATGTCTTTGCTATTGTGAATAGTGCTGCGATGAACACATGTGTGCATGTATCTTTGCAATAGAATGATTTATATTCCTTTGGGTATACGCGCAGTAATGGGACTGCTTTTACCTGTGCCAAAATACTGAAGTAGAAATGATTATTCACTCTAAAATGGAAGGTAATAAGATGTATACGTGAGCTATCAGATGCCTGGTGCTTATGAGTGAAGACAAGTCTGTCCAACGCTTCCCAACCCTGCATTCAGGGATGTCTCGTTGGCATCTTGATTATGGCCATGAAAAAAGAATTTACGTCAAGGAAATTGGTAAATGCCACTAATCATAGCATTTCAAAAAATGTCTTTTTCAGAATTAGCATACCATTGGGTCGTGACTTCAAATGCCAGTGTGTTGATTCCAGGTGGTGATATTTCAGGAGAAACTACACAGATAGCATCTGATAAGGAGGGAAGAGCTCATAGGGTCCACACAGGAGGTGAGGGCATCACGGTGCATTTATCTTTTCCTGGTCGGACTCTGATCTTCTCCCGTTGAATTAGTTCCTAAACCAGGTGCGGAACTCTGAACTGAAGACATGAAGACCCAGTAAAGTACACCAGGAAGTGTGGCAATGAGAAATGAAGAGGACTGTGTGACACGCCATGGACCAGAGCATGCAGGTGTGCAGAGGTGTGGACCCAACGCTGCCATGTGGGATGGAGCCTCATGTCTAAGTGTGGGAAAAGAGGCAGATCCAACCAAGGAAAGTCAACATTAATGGAGAGGAAAGGTATCACATTTTAATGGTTCTCCATGGATCACCCCAGAAAATGTCCCTGCACTCGGACATTGATTCCTTCCTCTGGAAATGACCAGCAGACAGTCCAGATAGCATCGGCCCTAGATTTTCTTCCAGAACCTCCTGGGATCATCAGATCTGTTCCTGAGGCTTCACGACTCTATAAAGTACATTATCCTCTCTGCTGTTCACCTCCCGGCTGCATCTTGGGAAGCTTCTCTGGCTGTGCCAAGCCTCAAATGACAGAATCCCGAGGACCACCAGGATCAAGCCAGCCACGCCCATGTGGATGAGATTCTCCACTGCGTAATCCTGAAGGTGTGAGGCTGGGGATGGTGGACAAAGAGGTCACAGAGGTCAGGGTGGATCAGATTGTCCACCCAGGGCACCCACCTCCCCTTCACAGGACCCAACCCTCAGTGCCAGCCCCATCACTGAGAGTATCTCCTCACATACCAGTCTCAGAGTCAGACTTGTTTTGTGATGGGCTGAGGGTATCAGCTGCTCCAGAGAATCAAAACAGAGAAAAAGAGACCTGAGCCCAGCCTCTCACCTGGGCTCTGCAATTTTTTTTTTATTACTTAATGTCTCATGATGTGACTTTTACAGAATTTCTAAAAAAAAAAAAAAAAAACCTCTTCCTCCGCTAGCAGGATTCCCTCTAGTCTCCTCATTGAACGATTTCAGTTTTCCTGTGTTCTATGGATTTAAACATTGCTCCTGAGTCATCTGGGAGAGAGTTTTCCTGCATCCTGAGAGCTCAGGATCTGCAAGGAAAGTGGTCCCCAGTACAGAGGTCACTAAGGCCTGTGTGCTCTCTGTGCAGCCTGGGACACAGGAGAACATGAGCCAACTCCCCCGGAGATGAGAGTTTCACGGATCCACCAGCTGAGGACCCAGGCTCCGTGGATGAGGGTTAGTCATCAGGGGAGCCTCAATGTCAGAAGCACAAAGGGGTGAAATTCTGGGGCTGCCTCCCCTTCATGCCCTCAGCCACTTCACCTGGAGTTTCATTGTCCATTTAATCTCTAGGTAGCTAATTATTCGTATAGGCAGCAACAGGTAGAATGTGATACACACACAGAAAAACACAAACACAAATATATATCTGTTTTATATATATAGTGGGCCTTAAAAACTATCTCTGCCTTCTTGAAGTGTGGGTTCACCTGGAGACAAACAGCAAACATATAGAAACACAGCAGTGGAAATTTACTAGTCGTAGCAATGGTTTTAGATATATTGGTAGAGACCTATATTTATGTGTGAATATATATTATTTGTATAGATATACGGATAACTAGGTTTCAATGTCACGTAAGATGTTGGTGTGACCACACACGCGCACACACACACACACACGTATATGCAGAGAGTGGAAGAGAGAGAGAAGGAATTCAGCCGCATGGTGTAGGTTGGTTAATTACTTGACATAAATGAGAAGCAGGCAGGACTGGGCTGAGCTGTGTCGTCAGTGAAGGTCACACTTGGAGGTGACATTGAAGCTGATTCCTCAATAGGAAAAAGGGCCAGGAAGGAGGCGTGTGGAGACCCAGACAGGGAGCAACAGAGGCTCCAGAAAGAGCAGGTCCCAGAAAGGTCTCAGCCTGTTCTTCAGAAAGGAATGGCCGCTTGTCTACAGGGTGGAGGAGGAGGCAGAGGAGGAGGGGAGATGAGCTTCGGGGCCTTGGTGGATTGAGAATAGGCCAGGATGAACCGGCCAGGAAAGAGCGGCCCCAATATCTCTCTCTCTGTCTCTCTGTCTCTGTCTCTGCCTCTCTCTCCCTCCCTCTGAGGTCTGGAAAGTGCTGTAGGGTTTCAAGGAGTGGTACCAGTCATTTGACTTTTTCTGAAAAGATAAGCCCTACCCCCTCCATAGCAAATGTCCAGAACGAAGGAAGTCCACATTTCTACCTGAAGTTTACAAAACCTCAGGGAGCACGTGAGATCAGGGCTATTACGAAACCGGGTGAGAATAAAAATAGGTGATGCTGCAAATCTACTTTCACCAGCTTGGACAAAAAGGCCAATATGAGATTTTAAAAACCCAAATAAAAAATGTCAACGGCGCAGAAGAGGAGCGGTGCACATTCCCTGAGCTGCTGCGGGAGCACGTGCAAGTCCCTGTGAGGCTCAGGTGTGCGCTGAGTGCTGGGGAGGCTGCAGGGGAAAGCAGGAAGTGGGGCGGGGTGGGGGGGGGTCGGGGGTGGATGCAGGTGGCACCGGCAGCCTGGATGCTTCTCTCTCCAGGAGGGCGTCTGTTGGGGACTGGGACACAGAGGCTCTGATTCTGAGGTGGAGACACCAGGATGGGAGCAGGTGGGGCCTCCGTCTTCCACCCTCAGTCTAATCTCAACTCCTTTGAGGTTCACCCCCCGTCTCCTCCCAGCCCTCCCTGCACTTTACTCTACTGAGACTTCAGGGGTGGGAGCCAGGGGTGGGAGGTCCCTGTCTATTTCCATCTTCCCATGGGCTGGACCCTCCCCTGCGGACCCTCTCCCTTCACTCCCCTCTTTCCTTAGTGTCCAGAGCTCTGCTGGGGGCAGGGCCTGAGCTGAGCCTTTGAGCTCAGAGAGGACAGGGTCAGCGCCCTCACCTGAGACCACGAGCTCCACGGGGCCACTGGGGTGAGACAGCAGGTAGGGGTCGGAGCTGAGTGAGCCGTAGCACCTGTAGGTCCCCGTGTGGGCTGAGGTCACAGGACTCATGGGGAATTC